>NC_000009.12:32585757-32737272 GCF_000001405.40 Homo sapiens
TATGTAACACTTGACATCCTTTGCTGTCATTTCAACAATGTTCATAGCATCTTTACCAGGAACAGTTTCCATCTCAAGAAACCACTTTCTTTGCTTATCCAGAAGAAGCAACTTCTCATCTACCAAGCTTTATCATGAGATTGAGGCACTTCAGTCACATCTTCAGGCTCCAGTTCTAATTCTAGTTCTCTTGCTATAGCCACCACATCTGCAGTTACTTCCTCCACTGAAGTCTTGAACCCCTCAAAGTCATTCATGAGAGTTGAAATCAACTTCTTCCAAACTCCTGTTCATGTTGATACTTTGACTTCCTCCCATGAATCACAAATCTTCTTAATGGCATATAGGACAGTAAATTCCTTCCCAGAAGGTTTTCAATTTACTTTGCCCAGATCCATCAGAGAAATCACTATCTATGACAGCTGTAGCCTTACGAAATGTATTTCTTAAAGAATAAGACTTGAAAGTTGAAATTACTCCTTGATCCATGAGCTGCAGAATGGATGCTGTGTTTGAAGGCATAAATACAACATTCATTTCTTTGTACATCTCCATCAGAGCTCTTGGGTGACAAGGTGCATTGTCAATGAGCAGTAATGTTTTGAAAGAAGTCTCTTTTTCTAAGCAGTAGTTCTCAACAGTGGGCTTAAAATATTCAGTAAACCATGCTGTAAACAGATGTGCTGTCATCCAGGCTTTGTTGTTCCATTTATAGATCACAACCAGAGTAGACTGAGCAAAATTCTTAAGGGCTTTTTAGGGATTTTCAGAATGGTAATTAGCAATGGCTTCCACTTAAAGTCTCCAGCTACATTCGCCCCTAACAAGAGAGTCAGCCTATCCTTTGAAGCATTGAAGCCAGGCATTGACTTCTCTCTAGCTATAAAAGTCCTAGATGGCATCTTCTTCCAATATAAAACTGTTTGGTCTACAATGAAAATCTGTTGTTCAGTGTAGCCAACTTCATCACAGATCTTAGCTACATCTTCTGGTTAACTCGCTGCAGCTTCTACATCAGCACTTGCTGCTTCACCTTGCACTTTTGTTATGGAGAGGGCTTCTTTCCTTAAACCTAATGAACCAATGGAGAAACAGCCAGTTGGTGGAGCAGTCAGAACCCACAGAACCTTTATCAATTAAGTTTGCCATCTTCTATGGGTGCGGTTCATTGCACCACAAAACAATTAGAATAGTAACAACAAAGATTACTATGAAAGATCACCATACCAGATATAATAATGAAATAGACTGAAACATTGCAAGAATCACCAACGGGTGACACACAGACATGAAGTGAGCATATGCTGTTGGAAAAATGGTGCGGATAGACTTGCTTGCCATACAATTGCCACAAACCATTAATTTGTAAAACATGCAACTTATGTGAAGTGTCATAAAGTGAAGCACGATACAACAAGGTATGCCTGCATTTGACCCAGGAACTCTGGCCTGTAGCTTCAAATCAAAATCCCAGGCTAGGTGGTGGCTCACACCTGTAATCCCAAACTTTGGGAGGCTGAGATGGGTGGATCACTTGAGGCCAGGAGTTTGAGACCAGCCTGGCCAACATGGCGAAACCCCGTCTCTGCTAAAAACACAAAACTTAGCTGGGCATGGTGGTGCACACCTGTAATCCCAGCTACTCGGGAGGCCGAGGCAAGAGAATCGCTTGAACCCAGGAGGAGGAGGTTGCAGTGAGCCTAGATTGTGCCACTGCACTTCAGCCTGGGTGACAGAGCAAGACTGTCTCAAAACAAGCAAACAAACAAACAAAAAATCCCACCGATAGTTTTCAAGGCTCTTAGTAACCTGCCTTTATTTTGCCTACACCACTTAATTTCACCCTCTTCCCCTACCTCAACCCTACATTATGGAGCAATTGCATTTCTGTCCTTCAAAAATATCACCGTATTCACTACCGTCTCCTTGAGTTCTTCCTATCTGCCAGCAGAGAGTCTTACCCAAGTCCTACTGCCTCTGTAAACTTTGACCTCCGTGGCTCAGTGATTTTTGCTTCTTTTGCCCATCTAAAGGCTTCTTTGTCTGTTAAACCTATGCCAAGTTTTGCTTTCACAAATGGCTCAGTTGAAAAATTTATTCAACATCCCACTCTGCATAGCTTGAATATACCTGAAATAGCTATTATTTGGAAACAGGCACATCCATATCTTTGCAGGACATCTTGGAATAGAGTTCATTAAGAAGTTTAATTAGCAGGAAATGATGTATGATAACATTAGTAAATGTCTGGTGGCTAAACTGACAAGGCCCTGTTTCCAAACTTCCCATGTGGTGAACACCTCACACTGCACTCACCATGGCTAAAGCTGTGGGAAGCACCTCTTTTCAAGCCTCATCATTTCCAGCCACAGCCTGCCTCTGACTCCACAAGAGCAAACTCTGTCAAACAGAGTGTTGTGGTTTTACTTACAGCTGTTCTGCTGGATGTTTTCAGTATTTATAAACCATGTGCTTGCTCTTAAAACTTGCAGAAAAGAGTTCAAATGCTCACATGTGTCTCTGAAGAAAATCATTGCCTTTCTCTCCTATTATCTTCTTTCTTTCTCCCAGTTTCTTCTCTCCTGTCTTAATCAGGGTAATTAACAGATAACTCCAAATTTTCATTGGCCTAAAATGATAAAAGTGTATTTCATGTCCCCATCACAGTCTATTGCAGGTTATGGGGATTATGGTGTAGGATTAGGCTCTACTCAGACATTCAAGGACGCAGGATGATAAAGGGTCCCATGGTCTGCCTGAGCAATGACATCCACCAGATGTGGGTGGGGAGGGGAGACAAAAAAAATGGGGGACGATGTTGGATATTTTAGGAGCTAGAACTGCAAGTCTCCCATCCACATTCTATTTGCCAGAACTCAGTCACAGGGCCCCACCTAACTGCAGGGAATGCTGGAAAATGTAATTTAGCTATGTTTTTGGGAAAAGAACAAAATGAGTTTGATGAACAAACCCTTCATTCCATTTGGCTAGGGAGAGGTTTATATATACGCTTCCTTGGAGGGCTAAGGAAGGGTATATGCAACCAGTCCACAGAAACATCCTTTGACATCTCATACATGCCAACAATGTGTTTGATGGGTCATACACAGTCCAGTTACATCTGTAACAAACATCTAGATCCTATATAATATACCGTCTTGTATAAATCTTGGATCGTCTCACATATACATTTGTTAATTCTTCAATGAGACTTCACAGTTGAGGGGGTGGCAGTGAGAGGAGACAAGCTAGAAAGGGCTGTTTTCCATAGGAAGGGAAAAAAGAAAACAACTTAGTTTTAGAAACTTAATTGAATGTATATCCACAGAACACGATATTACAAAATTAATCAGTGCGGAAAGTTGAGTGGAAAGATACTTATTTCTGAGCAAAAGATTGTATTGGGGACAGTTAATTTGGGTCTAGAGGCATGAAAACGCATATTTTAAAGACTCAAATGTAAGGTCTTAAAGGATGCACTCATAGTTTCACAATTAGGAGATTCCACTAGATGGCCCTGTTTCAAAGTGCTACAAAGCTGGAGATGTACAGCTTCCTGGTAACTGCAACTCTCAGACCTTTTCAAGTATTTAGGGCACTTTGTTATCAACTGTAGTTGATTTTTCTAAAATACTATTGATGTGGCAAATTTCATCGTTTAGTATGACATGGAAATGTTTTGGTAAAAGAATTTAGCCCAAAGTTTTCTTAACAGAGTATTTCGTTCTGAACAAATCATTTAAAATGAACAACCTGCACTGAAATGACAGCCTGTCCCCCAAAGTGCAGAATCAGCAGTGATGTTGCAAGAGTTCAGGAAGAAGCTGGAGCTGTAAATTTCCCTTGCTCCAAGTGGATTTTAAAGCCAACACAGATTCTGTCCCCCCTCCCTTTTCTAGCTCTATTTTGAGACACACATTTCAAAGTCCTAGGTTATTCCGCTATGTTATATGGATTTTGACAACTCCAAATAAGTCTAAACCACCCAATCAAAATATTTTCTGAAACTAAAATAGGATGATTATAATAAAAAGCTACAAAACCCATATTTATTAACTAGGGCCTGGTAGTTGTCCTTATTAGACATCTCCAGAATTGCTGACGAGATAGAACAGAGAATGCTAGTGTCTCTTTTTCCTAACTGTGCATTCATTAATACTGGCATCCTTTGTGTCAGGTATTTGCTCTCAAACCTAAAAGGAAGTTTATCCAATTAAAAATTAAAGACCAATGGTGGGATCTTCCACCACTTCTGCTCTCATCATTGCCTCCTGCAAATTTGATAGTGGCAACATTGGTTTATTCCCAGAAACAAAGGAAGCCAACAGCAGAGCCTCCACTCCTACCATCCATCAGGATTGTTCCTGTATGTAAATGGAGGCCCCACACTACACTCAACATTATTAAACGGTTCTTTTTTTTTTTTTTTTTTTTTTTTGAGATGGAGTTTCACTCTTGTTGCCCTGGCTGGAGTGCAATGGCATGATGTCAGCTCACGGCAACCTCCGCCTCCCTGGTTCAAGCGCTTCTCCTGCTTCAGCCTCCCCAGTAGCTGGGATTATAGGCATGCGCCACCACGCCCAGCTAATTTTGTATTTTTAGTAGAGATGGGGTTTCTCCACGTTGGCCAGGCTGGTCTCAAACTCCTAACCTCAGGTGGCCCGCCTCGGCCTCCCAAAGTGCTGGGTTTACAGGCATGTGCCACCACACCCAGCTCATTATTAAACAGTTCTAAGACACATCCACAATTGTAGATGAGAAATCAGAGTACTACTTTTGGCTAAGATAGTCTCCTACCAGTACTATGGCTATCTAGTTATCTCGGATATTCTGTTGAAAATACCTTCCATCCCAGTTCTTCCAGATTTACAGCAGTCATATATTTCCTTATCCACTAAAACCTAAACCAAAAATGTTGCACATTTGTGTGTGCTTTTATCTGTGTGTGGGAGGTAGAATAAGGAGTCCAGAGAGTTGTGGGATTAAACTTGGCTGAGCTAATATGTATGTAATTCTACCTCTGGCTATGATGAACTACCAGGGACTGGATTTACCTTTTTACCCCCAAACAACTAGAAAATCTGACAAAACATATGAAGCAATGGTTTTAAGACGTTGGACAATGTGGGATTATGATCCCCACCAGAGGGAAATAAATGAAGTGAGCCCTACAATTTCCCCATTTTTCTGCTTGAAGAAGTTTTTAGGTTGCAGTGCAGAAAGAGAAAACCCAAACAGAGCACAGCAGTCTCAATGAGTTAGAGACTGAAGTTTTAGGAAGCCAAAGCAGCTAGAATTTCCTTCAGAGTGGAGGGAGCTACAGAGGGAGAGAGCAGAGCTCTGAAGTCTTCCACTCAGTAGTGATCTGTGCATGAGTCAGAGAAAACTACCTGAGGCCAGAGAAAGAAGCCTGAGAAATCACTACAACAAACAATGCCAAGCATGCAAAAAAGCAGGAAAACAGATCCATAACGAGGAAAAAATAATTGATAGAAAAAAACAAAAATGACAAAGATAATGGAATTAGCAAAGAAGGATGTTTTAAAAAGCTATTACAAATATGCTCCATATATTCAATAAGTTGGAGGAAAGCAAGAATGATCAGGAGAGGAATGAGACAACCTACAGAATGGGAAAAATTTTTTGCAATCTATCTACCTGACAAAAGTCTAATAGCCAGTATATACAAGGAACTTAAGTAAATTTACGAGAAAAAACAAACAACCCCATTAAAAAGTGGGCAAAGGATATGAACAGACCCTTCTCAGAAAAGACATACCTGCGGCCAACAAACGTGAAAAAAAGCTCAACATCACTGATCATTAGAGCAATCTAAATCAAAACCACAATGAGATATTATCTCACACCAGTCAGAATGGTGATTATTAAAAAGTCAAGAAACAATAGATGCTGGCGAGGTTGCAGAAAAATAGGAACACTTTTACACTGTTGGTGGGAATGTAAATTAGTTCAACCATTGTGAAAGACACTGTGGCAATTCCTCAAAGATTTAGAACTGGAAATACCATTTTTGATCCAGCAATCTCATTACTGGGTATATACCCAAAGGAATAGAAATCATTCTGTTATAAAGATACATGCATGTGTAGGTTCACATGCAGCACTATTCACAATAGCAAAGACATGGAATCAACCCAAATACCCATCAGTGATAGACTGGATAAAGAAAATGTGGCACATATACACCATGGAATACTATGCAGCCATAAAAAGGAATGAGATCATTACCTTTGCAGTGACATAGATGAAACTGGAAGTCATTATCCTTAGCAAACTAACGCAGGAACAGAAAACCAAACACTGCATGTTCTAACTTATAAGTGGGAGCTGAACAATGAGAACACATGGATACAGGGAGGGGAACAACACTCACTGGGGCCTGTTGGGGGAGGGCAGTGAGGGGAGAGCATTAGGGAAAACAGCTAATGCATGCTGGGCTTAACATGTAGGTGATGGGTTGATAGGTGCAGCAAACCACCATAGCACACGTTTACCTATGTAACAAACCTGCACATCCTGTACATGTACCCCAGAACTTAAAAATAATAATAATAAAAACAACAACAAAAACACATAAAAATATGTGGGGTGTAGTTAAAGCAGTGCTCAAAAGGAAAGTTATCATATTGAAGAATAATATTTAAGAAGAAATGACTCAAATCCATGATTTAAGCTTCCACTTAAAAAATTATTAGAAGAACAAATGAAACCTGAAGTAAGCAAAAGGAAATAAATGAAGATCAGAAATCAAAGAAAAAGGGAAAAGAAAGGTAATAGAGAAAAAAAAAACCCAATGAAACCAAGAGTTGTTTCTTTGAAAAGACAAAAAAGTAAATCATAAATTTCTAGTCAGAATGATGAGAAAAAGTAGAGAGATCACAAGTCGCCAATATCAAATGAAAGAGAGAACATCACAACAGATCCTGCAGACATTAAAAGGAAAATAAAAGAGTGTTATAAACAATGCCATGCCAATAAATTCAACAATTTGGATGAAATGGACAAATCCCTTGCATGACAAACACTCGCAAAGCTCATACATTAACAAATAGATAACGTGAATAACCCTATATCTATTAGGGAGATTTAATTTGTAGTTTAAAAACCTCCCACAAAGTAACCTTCAGCTCCTGGTGGCTCTACTGGTGAATTCTAACAAACATTTTAGGAAGAAATAATACCGGTTCTACACAAACTCTTGAGAAAACCAAAGATGAGGGAACACTTCCCAAATCATTCTACAAGGGAAGCAGTACCCCAACATCAAAACCAAACAAAGACATTACAAGAAAACACAATCACAGGCCATCATCCTTCATAATATAGATACAAAAAGTCTTTAGAAAATTTTAGCAAATCACATCCTGCAGTACACAATATGATAACATCAGGACTACACAGGGTTTATCCCAAGAATGCAAGTTTGGTTGAAAGTTCAAAGATCAACTAATGGAACTTACCATATTAACATAGGAAAAGAGAAAAACTGTATAATCAATAGATGGAGAAGAAGTATTTGACAAGATTTAACACCCATTCATGATTTAAGAAAAACCCAAAACAAACAAAACAAAGATTCTCTCAGCAAACTAGGAAAAGAAGGGAACTTCCTAAACCTGGTAAAGAGTATCTACAAAAATTCTACAACTAACATCTTTTTTATTGTTTTCTTTAAGAGATGTGATCTTGCTATGTTGCCAAGGCCGGCCTCAAACTTTGAACTCCTGGGTTCAGGTGACCCTCAAGCCTCAGCTTCCTGAATAGCTAGGACTACAGGTACACGCCACTGCACCAGCTATTAACGTATTTAATGGAGAAAATCTTAATTCTTTCCCTTAAAATTGGGAATAAGACAAAGATGCCTGCTTATACTACTTCTATTTAATATTGTACTGAAGGCCCTAGCCAGCACCATAAGGCTAAGAAAAGAAATAAAAGATATACAGATTTGAAAGAAAGAACTAAAACCATCTTTATTTGCAGGCCAATAATGCTACTAGAAATAATGAATTTAACAAGATTGTAGGATACAAGATCCATATATAAAAATCATTTATATTCATATATACTATAATGAACAATTGGAAGTTGAAATAAAAAATACAATTCACAATAACATCAAAAATATTAAATACTTAGGGATATATTTAATAAAACATATTTAAGAGCCACACACTGAGAAACTATAAAACTTTGCTGAGAGAAATTAAAGACCTATATAAATACAAAAAGCATATTTATGGATAAGAAAACCAAATATTATTAAGATGACAATTCTCTGTAAATTGATCCATAGCGTCAACACATTTTCATTCAAAATGCCAACAGGTTTCAAATAGACATGGCACTTTTGCAACTCAGTAATAAGAAAAAAAATACATGATTAAAAAATTTTTTAATCTCATTTTTATAATAGGCAAAAAATTTGAATAGACCCTTTGATAAAGTACAGTTTTGAATGACAAATAAGCACAGAAGAGATGCTCAACATTATTGGACATTACAGAAATGCCAAAAAAAACACAATGCAACTTATCATCATTATTATTATTATTTTTGAGGTGCAATCTCACTCTGTCACCCAGACTGGAGTGCAGTGGTGCGATCTTGGCTCATTGAAACCTCCGTCTCCTGGGTTCAAGTGATTCTCCTGCCTCAGCCTCCCGAGTAGCTGGGATTACAGGTATGCACCACCACGCCCAGTTAATTTTTTTGTATTTTTACTAGAGACGGGGTTTCACCATGTTGGCCAGGCTGGTCTCAAACTCCTGACCTCAAATGATCCACCCACCTCGTCCTCCCAAAGTGCTGGGATTACAGGTATGAGCCACCATACCCGGCCCCCCAGTGCAATTTATAAAGAATGATTATACCAAGTATTGACAAGTAAGTAGAGCAATTAAAACTTTTTCTTCTTCTTCTTCTTTTTTTTTTTTTTTTTTTGAGATGGCGTCTCGCTCTGTCACCGATGCTGGAGTGCAATGATGCAATCTCGGCTCACTGCAACCTCTGCCTCTCGGGTTCAAGCGATTCTCCTGTCTCAGCCTCCTGAGTAGCTGGGATTACAGGCGTGCGCCACCACGCCCAGCTAATTTTTGTATTTTTAGTAGAGACGGGGTTTCATCATGTTGGCCAGGCTGCTCTTGAACTCCTGACCTCAGGTGATCCGTCTGCCTTGGCCTCCCAAAGTGCTGGGATTGCAGGCGTGAGCCACCACGCCTGACCCAATTAAGACTCCTATACATTGCTGGTGGAAATGCAAAATGGTACAGTCACTTTGGAAAACAGTTTGGCAGTTTCTTAAAAAGTTGAATGTATATTTACCATATGAACTAGCAATTCTATTCCTAGATTTACCATGAGAAATTAAAACATATGTTCACACAAAAATTTACACTCAAATATTTATAGCAGCTTTATTTGTAATAACCAAACCCTAGATACAACCCTAATAAATTAGATGGTAAATGTATTAACTAATGCGGATAAGTCCATATAATGGCATACTTCTCGAAAATAAAAAGGAACAACCTACCGATACAAGCAACAATATGGATGAATCTCAAAACATGCTAAGTGAAAGAAATGAGACACAAAGAGTACTTACCGTTTAATTCCACTTATATTGAATTATAGAAAGGGCAAAACTATAGGTATAGAAAGTAAATCAGTGATTGCCAGGGGCTAGAAGTGTGAGGAAAGGATTGACTACAAAGGGATACAAGGGCATTTTTTTGGAATGAGGAAATGTTCTGTATCGTGATTGTAGTGGTGATTGCATGACTGTATATGTTCATTAGTATTCAATAAACTATACACTTTAAATTGCTGGATTTTCTTATGTATAAATTATACCTCAATAATAAAGATTTTTTTAAACATATAGAATGTCAAAAACCCACAAGGTAAATTGCATAAGAATGGTGACAAAACATACATATATTCTTTGGATTTCTAATGCTGAGTTCCCGAAACAACTGAAGTCTTTAATCAGACAGGCACTAAGTAGCTACCATTTAGTTAGGGAAAGCATAGAGTGAACTGAATAACCAAGGTACAAAGGGTACCCAGGTATGTGACCTACTTCAGACCAGTGGGATTGGGAGGGTGAGGAAAGATGTGAATTAGGCCTTGGTGCTAAGATAAGCATCTCCCAAACAGTTCCACAAAGCAAGTTAATTTGTGGTTTCCATTTGATCAACACAGAGCTCTGGAGCACTTTCTGTGAGTCAGGCAAAGAGTGTCAGCCCCTAGACAAAAATAAGATGAGGCATGTGTCCTTAAGGGCAAAACCAGGATTGCAATACAAAATGATCAGGGCAAACTGCTACTGAAATGTAGAGAAGAATCTACCTATTCATGTTTTTAAAAACATTTATTGAGTACTAATTCTATTCCAGGCACTGTGTTAGTTTCTTTGAATGAAATTAGTTGACAAAATAGCCACAGAACTTCCTCTCTGGAAGACAAGGCAGCCATTAATCAAAGAGTCACACTGTACTCATCAGGATCCTTGGTTGTAAAAATGAAACTAAGTCTGGTCAAGTTAAGAAGAAAAATAACTTGATGGAAGAGTATCAGATGGCTTACGGCATTCACAGAAATGTCAAAGAATCAGACTAAGGCAGGAACCAAAGAAGGCTATGCACAGCCAAGACTCTGCTGCAGGAACTAATACCTGCCCTGATGGGGACATGACTGTTGGACATTCACCACTGCCATCCCCGGACACTTGCCACTGTGACACTGGACTCTCAACTCTGCCCAACCAAGAAAAATCTCTAATCAGCCCTGTGCTTTTGCAGCATTTCCTAAGACTTATTTGCTTGTTCAGGCTAAGATCATGTGCCTGCCTGAATGTGGGAAGACGAAATGGCCTTCTTCCTCCTTGAGGTTTTGTAGTAGGAAGCAGGGTCTTAGTTAATTAGGTGAAGAGGAGAGGAGAATGTTCCAAGCAGAGGAAACCACACGTTCCAAGTTCCTGTGGTGGAAGAGAACATGATATGTATACCAGGCACTGAAATAGGATGGACTATGCCACACCATAAAAGCCATGTTAGGGGGCTTTGACTTTATTCCAAGGGCAATGAGAAGCCATTGTGGGATGTTAAGTAGGGAGTGACATATTGATCTGTGTGTCAAAAAGATTACTCTGCACTCTGGAGAACAAATTGGAAGTTACAAGAAATGAAATCAGAAAGATCAGGTACTTGGCTGCTCCAATGGTCCAGGGCAGAGGTTAAATGGTAGCTTTGACTAAATTGGTGGCAGTGGAAGTGGAGAGATGAGGACAGAGTCAAGAGCTATTTAGAAGGTACATAGGCCAGGATGTGATGATAATCAGATATGGGAAGTGAGACAGCAGTGGATCTAGGGTGACACCTAAGGTTCTGACTTGCATAACTGGATGAAGGGTGATTCCAATCACTAGGATGGGGAAACTGGAAGAGGGCTAGCTTGGAGAGAAGAACCCAAGTTTTAGTATTAGCTCCATCTAATTTGAGATGGCTTGAGACATCCAAAAAACAATGTCAACTAAGTGAGAACCTCAGCTTAAATGAGTTTACCAAAAATAAGTGGGGATGGCTCACAAAGTGCAAGTAAAATAAAAAATCATGGAGGTAGGTAATCAGATACAGCCGGAGCCAAGAGTTGAAAGAATATTAATGTGACTCATTTCCTCTCCTCGTTGCTCTGAAAAAGCAGTATTAGTCCATTAAAATGAAAAATAAAAACATTTTCTTGGCCGGGCGCGGTGGCTCACGCCTGTAATCCCAGCACTTTGGGAGGCCGAGGCGGGCGGATCACGAGGTCAGGAGATCGAGACCATCCTGGCTAACACGGTGAAACCCCGTCTCTACTAAAAATACAAAAAATTAGCCGGGCGTGGTAGCGGGCGCCTGTAGTCCCAGCTACTCGGGAGGCTGAGGCAGGAGAATGGCGTGAACCTGGGAGGCGGAGCTTGCAGTGAGCCGAGATCGCGCCACTGCACTCCAGCCTGGGCGACAGAGCGAGACTCCGTCTCAAAAAAAAAAAAAAAAAAAAAAAAAAAAACATTTTCTTTTAAACAACAAAAACCTATGATCTCAAACATCTGCCAGAATGGATGGGCAGAACGACCTTCAAGAACTTATCCTAGAAGTCAAATTATCCTTGTTTGTAGATGACATAATCATATATTTCGAAAAACCTAAAGATTTCACAAGAAAACCACTAGAAGTGATCAACAAATTCAGTAAAGTTGCAGGATACAAAATCAACATACAAATATCAGTAGCAATTCTATATGCCAACGGTAAAGAATCTAAAACAGAAACAAAAAGTAATCCCATTTACAATAGTCACATATAAAATTAAATACCTAGGAATTAACCAAAGAAGTGAAAGACTTCTAAAATAAAAACTACAAGACACTGATGAAAGAAATTGAAGAGGACACCAAAAACATTGAAAATATTTCATGTTCATGGATTGTTAAAATGTCCATACTACCCAAAAGCAATCTATAGATTAATGTAATTCCTATCAAAATACCAATGACATTCTTCACAGAAATAGAAAACAAAATTCTAAAATTTATATGGAACCACAAAAGACCCAGAATAACCAAAGCTATCCTAAGCAAAGAGAGCAAAACTGGAGGAATCACATTACCTGACTTCAAATTATACTACAGAGCTATAGTAACCAAAACAGCGTGGTGCTGACATAAAAACAGACACATACACCAGTGGAACAGAATAGAGAACCCAGAAACAAATCCACACATCTACAGCAAACTCATTTTCAACAAAGTTGCCAAGAACATATGCTGGAAAAAAAGACAATCTCTTCAATAAGGGGTGCTGGGAAAACTGGATATCCATAGCAGAAGAAGGAAACTAGACCCCTATCTCTCACCATCTAAAAAAAAAATCAAAATGGATTAAAGCCTTAAATCTAAGACCTCATACTATGAAACTATTACACGGAAACATTGGGGAAAATCTCCAGAACTTTTGGTCTGGGCAAAAATTTCTTGAGCAATACCCCACAAGCACAGGCAACCAAAGCAAAAATGGACAAATGGGATCACATAAAGTTGAAAAGCTTCTGCACAGAAAAGGAAACAATCCACAAAGTGAAGAGACAATCCACAGAATGTGAGAGAATATTTGCAAACCATCCATCTGACAACAACTCTATAGGAAAAAATCTAAATAATCTGATAAAAAGAATCAGGTAAAAGATTTGAATAGACATTTCTCAAAAGACATACAATGGCAAACAGGCATATGAAAAAGTGTTCAACATCATTGATCATCAGAGAAATGCAAATCAAAACAACAATGAGATATCATCTCACCCCAGTTAAAATGGCTTGTATCCAAAAGACACGCAATAACAAATGCTAGTGAAAATGTGGAAAAAAGGGAACCCTTATAAGCTATTGATGGGAATGTAAATTAGTACAACTACTATGGAGAACAGTGTGGAAGTTCCTCAAAAACCAAAAATAGAACTACCATACGCTCCAGCAAACTCACTGCTGGGTATATACCCACAAGAAAGGAAATCAGCATATTGAAGAGATATCTGCACTCGTATGTTTGTTGCAGCTTTTACAATAGCTAAGATTTGGAAGCAATCTAAATGTCCATCAACAGATGAATGGATAAGGAAAATGTGGTACATATCCACAATGAAGTCCTTGAGCCATAAAAAAGAATGAGAGCCTGTCATTTGCAACAACATGGATGGAACTGGAGGTCATTATGTTAAGTGAAATAAGCTAGGAACAGAAAGATGAATATCTCATGAATATCTCACTTATTTGTGGGACCTAAAAATCAAAACAATTGAACTCAAGGACAGAGAGAGTAGAAGGATGGTTACCAGAGGCGGGGAAGGGTAGTGGGGGGGTGAGTGCTAAGGAGGAGATTAATGGGTACAAAAAAGTTGGAAAGAATGCATAAGACCCAGTATTTGATAGCCCAACAGGGCGACTATAGTCAATAGCAACTTACTTGTACACGTTAAAACAACTAATACAGTGTAATTGGATTGTTTGTAACACAAAGGATAAATACCTGAGGGGATGGATACTCCATTCTCCGTAATGTGGTTATTTCACAGTGTATGCCTGTATCAAAACATCTCATGTATCCCATAAATATGTACATCTACTATGTACCCACAAAAATTAAAAATTAAAAAAAAATTTTTTAAAGATCCCAAGTTTGTGCCAGGCACTTTATGTATACAAATACAGCAAATTTAGAATTATTGATATCATGTAGTGAAGAAGGAAACTCAGTCCTAAAATTTTGTTATCATGCTGAAAGTTTTGAAATTATCAGCATGTTGTCTTATTCCTATTCAAATCAATTGTTTTCATTTCTCGATGATAATACTTTTATTATTATTATTATGTCAAGCAAGTGATCTCAGTTTCCCTGATATAAATATTTCAAAGGCAGTAATGACATGCCAGATAAAAGAATAAGGTTTGAGGGCAGCGAGTCCTGTGTTCAGATTCCATCAAATATTAATCAGTTGTGTGAACTTACACACAAAACATATTTTAATTTTCTGAGCATCAGCTTTCTAGTTTTCAAAATAAGAATAATAAAAGTACTTACATCATAATTTTTAAGAAGATTAAGGGAGCTCTTGAACATTTAAAATAGGGAACATCAAATAGGTAGTTGGATATATGAGACTAGAATTTGGAAGAAAAATCTGTGTGGGTGATATAAATTTGTGGTCATATGCCTGTCAATAACGGAAGCCAAGTTGTGAATGGCACTACCTAGGAAAGAAGTATACAGAGATGAAAGGGCAAGGCCTGCAACTGAACACTGATTCCTTAATTGAGCTTCCTGAGCACATCAGAGTAGCAAATTTTGTGATGAAATTTGAAACTATGAGTGATTGTCTAGGTGGAGAAGGAAGGAAGGAGTATTTTGATGGTGACCAGCAGAAGAGGTCTAAGGCAACACAGAATATTCTGGGAGAGGTGGTGGCTAGGGTATAAGAACACTGCTGCTAAGGGAGATGGGAAGTAATTAAGACTCAGAAGCAAACAGAAGAGGAAGCTCCCCCAGGGAATTAAGAGTTATACAGTTGGATGTCTAAGGAAACAGAACAGCATCTTTCTTGCGAGGACTGAGCCAGGCTACTGGTAGGAAGGGAACTCAAAGAGCGAACTCCAACACTTTTGGTTGGAGACCTTGAACCAATGTGCAGAACAGACATGGCTTATGTCTGACATTGATGGGGGTGGGGTGGAAGCAGGCAGAGCAGGGGTATATTAAGTCTCTAGAAGATACATGGTCCTGGTACTGTCTTCACTTCTACTTTTCTGCCACTATGGAAAGAGTAGTTGAAATTCTACAAGCTGAGAGATTTCATATCTACCCAGACCTTAAGACTTCCTCAATAAAGTTTGGCAGATGGCAAATACAGAGCATGATCAGACCTGTGGAAATCTACCCAAAAGCCAGATGTCACCTCCCCTGTGTCCTCTGATTCCCGCATCTGCTCACACTGCTCAGCCTCACTGCATCAACCTGGATGCAGAACTCAGCACCTCTCCTAGTCCTGCTGCTCTCCACCAAATCCAGCCACAGAAAAGCTTCAGTGAGCAATGTTAATTTCCCTGAAGACTCTGTGGGTCCTGGAGGAGAAGGAGGGGACAGGAAGGGTAGCTATATCATACAACCTGAAGAAAACAAGGTAAAAACTGACATTCTATATTTGTACCTCCACAAATCCCTTCCTGGTTTATCCTCTCTAGGGATTTTTATCCCTGAATCCTCCCAGATTTCACTGCTTAATTCTCTCCCCTAGATTCTTGATCATCCTACCCCCAACTCCTGCCTTCATTTTCATTTTTTTTCCTTCCCTTTCTTACGCAAGCAATTTAGCCACTTCCCTCAATTCATAAACTTACAGACCCCAGGACATCATGATGCTCTGCAAAACAAGATACTCTACAGTAACAAAATTCACCCTCCTAAAGAAGCAGTTGGGGTAACAAACAATAATTTGTTGATGTTTTGTATAACAATCTGAAAAAGTAAAATGATATTAGCCGTGCCACCTCAAGGAGCACCTAGTTTGTGCCAGGTGCTTTATACATATACAGGTACAGCAAATTTAGGATTATTGATATCATTCATAAAGAAGAAAAGTCAGCTCAGAGAGATTAAATGTATAACCTGCCTAAAAACACAAACTCAAGGAGGTGGCCCAGGATCAAAGCCTAGTTTTAACACTAAAGCCCATGACCTTTCCTATGCTGCTATATATTTTCAAGAACAGTTTGCTGGCAAATAATTATTTAGCTTTAAGCCATAAATTACTCAACCTAAAGATCTACAGTGTTGTAAGAATGCAAAGTGAGCCTGAATTGAACAAAACAAAACAAAAAACAATATGTAGGGCTATGAACAAGGGATGGGAGTGGAGGAGAGACTATGATTTTTGTGTACTTCGAATGTATCAGGTTCTGTGGTCCAGTATTTACATACTTTTTCTCTTTTACTCCTTCCAACAACCCTGTGAAGCAGAGATTGTTATGTTCATGTTAACCGTCTCTCTCTCCGTCTCTCCTCTGTGGCTCATTTGCAAGGTTGACATGACATCTATTTTAATTTTGCTCAAGCTAAACTTATGCAGTGCTATGATATAAACTTCAGTTTCTCTGATCTACTGTAGTTCTTCTTGACCCTCTTCCTGGAAACTATTTATCACCCCTATGGAGAAAAACTTGAGGGCTGGCTGTTATTTTCTACTTACTTTTCTCTAGCCAGAAAATTTGTGAGAAGGAGGAAAGGTCATCAGGAGCTGCCTACAGTTGTTGCTAGCCTGGCTGGATTCTCTCTTGCAAGCCCCAGCAAATGTCCCTTACCAGGGCCAGTCTTCCCAGCATGGGACATTTTCTAACCCAAGGGCTTTGGTTGATCCCCCCATTCAGCAAGCACCCTGGAGAATGCCCGGCCCTGCCTACTCCTCTGCCTTAGCAAGGGTCTGCAGTGGCACGAAGAGTGGCTCCTACGCGTCAGTTTCCCCACCTCCTCGTGCCTCAATCCACTTCTTCCTCACATCAAGGCGAATTCAGAAAAAGTATCAGAATTTTGTTGACTCACCTTTCCTCATTTCTCTTTCTGAAAAGCAAGTGTCATTACAAGGTTGAAAGCCGTACAGTTGAAAGTAAAACTGTATTACATGAAGTTTTGCCCTTTTTTCAATCTTGATCACTGATGAGAAATTTTTGGCCCTTTAAAATGCAGTCATTTTATTCATTTTGTTAGGTACTGGGGGAAAATGCTCTCTGATCTGACTTCCTTTACCTCAAACTTTCAGAACAACTTTCAAGCAGGTGGGCCACACTCAGAAAAACCAAAGCCTGAAATTCAGTGTCAGGGTAAAAATAACATTAAGGATGGGGTGAAAAACAGTGAGCCTTATTTCACATTGACTTTAGAGGCTGAATTACAGCTAGATAGGAGGAATAAGTTCTAGTGTTGAGATGGCTTCTAATTTTATATTTACTTAAATCACATACTTATGTTTCCAAGAGCTTAAAAAAAAAAGGACAAGACACTTTGAAGTTTGTATCATTTCCAATACTAAAAATTCACTAAAGGTGAATCGTTGCAGGTTAAAAATCTCATATGCTAGGCCGGGCGCGGTGGCTCACGCCTGTAATCCCAGCACTTTGGAAGGCCGAGGCGGGCGGATCACGAGGCCAGGAGATTGAGACCATCCTGGGTAACACAGTGAAACGCCATCTCTACTAAAAATACAAAAAATTAGCCAGGCAAGGTGGCGGGCGCCTGTAGTCCCAGCTACTCGGGAGCCTGAGGCAGGAGAATGGCGTGAACCCCGGGGGGCGGAGCCTGCAGTGAGCCGAGATCGCGCCACGCACTCCAGCCTGGGCGACAGCGAGACTCTGTCTCAAAAAAAAAAAAAAAAAAAAAAAAAAAACTCATATGATAATAGACTTCAAAAACAACAACAAAAAAACCCAAAGCATCCTTATAATGACACAAAATATTAGAGTGGCATTAAAATGTGTCCCAAATATATAATATCATTTTCAAAAGATGTCGCCGTCTAAAAGCAACTGAGCTGAACATCTCTGACTTCACCATACTTTGCATTTATTTATCTTACAAAGTGAAACTAATTCTTTCATTACTTTTAGAGATTAATTCTGTGTGCTGACTTCAACAAGACGATGTTTTGCATTTGTGCTCAGCCACATTTTAAGCAACACCCTGAGAGAGTCAGTACTGTGTGCAGGGATTCAGCTGCACAGTTCACATCGAGATCAGCAAAAGGGTGGATAAATCCCTAGGTGCGGCTTTAATTTTGTTGCCAGGAAAAAAAAAAAACAAAAAACCCAACCAGTGTTCAGAGGCCATCAGGCTTAGCTTCTGCTCTGTGCCTCTGCGAAGTGCAATGCACAGGAAACAACACATCCTGGAGCCCCGACCCACTCTGAATTACAGCTGCCTGCCAGGCCCAGGAGGCTTGGTCCTAGGAGTCCAGCAACCAGGCTGTGCAGTGCGGCTGGGTCGAAAATTCCTGAGGGCTGATTATCTTCTTCTCAGCAGTTGGCAGGTGTGCGTCACCATCAGCTTAACTCTCCCTGTGTTCCCTGGATGACTCACAATGATCGCTTCCCATGTCACCTTAACCTAGTGAGCAAATTAGGAAGAGTTGTTTATTCATTTTAAACTATGATAATCCCTTCTAGTCACAATAGCTAAAGTGGTCATATGGCCACTGGCCATCACTATTGATCTTCTGGTATGTGTTGGGTATAGTTATGGAGGCAGAGTAGCAGTGGCCAAACACCTGTGTTCCGGGTTCAGGAACTGAAACCCTGGCTCCACCACTAACTATCTGCATGGCAGGGCAAGGTCCTTAACTTCATTAAACCTCCGGTTCCTTATTCGTAAAATGAAGACAATAATGGCACCCATTGGGAGGACTTAAAAAGCTAATACTGTGTATAGGAAAATTCTTAGCCCCATGTTAACATTCTCACTGATGCAGCTGCTGAAGATGATTAACATCTATTTTATTTAAGAAAGTTGATACCAAAGGTTTACATTTATATATTTTCCTAATTTAAAAAAATATTTTATATGACACATAATGATTTGTACATATTTATGGGGTGCATAGTGATGTTTCAACACATATGATGTATAGTGATAAGGTCAAGGTAATTAGCATAGCCATCATGTCAAACATTTATCATTTCTTTGTGTTGGGAACATTCTATATCCTCCTGCTAGCTATTTGAAACTATAGAGTATATTATTGTTAACTATCATCATCCTGTAGCGCTATATAACACTAGAACTCATTCCTTCTATCTAGCTGTAATTTTGTATTCTTCTACAAATCTATCCCTATGTCTCCCTTCCCTCTCCTTCCCAGCCTGTAGTACTGAGTTGCTTTACCAGTGATTAGGAATATAATGAAGTACTTCTGAAACCAGATGCTTTTTATTTTCAAGCTTTAAGCATTTATTTTCAATTGTACAAAACCATCTTGTTTCATGGATGAAGACAGAGAAATATAAGGCTTGCCTGAGATCACAAAGCTGACTAGAGGTAAAAATGCTACTAAAATTCTAGTGTCCTGATTTTCTTCCCAGGCTTTTTTGTCTCCATTGCCCTGCTTTTCCTTGTATGATCATATTCATCAGCGGAGACTCTCATATTCTAGCCATGTTCCTACAGAGCCATTCTAGATGTTAGTAATTTCACTTTTTGGCTGTTATAACAGAGAGCCTCAAAATAACACTGGGGCTAGCCTCAGTGGCTCATGCCTGTAATCCCAGCCCTTTGAGAGGCCTAGGTGGGTGGATCACTTGAGGTCAGGAGTTCCAGACCAGCCTGGCCAAGATAGCAAAACCCCGTCTCTACTAAAAATACAAAAAACTAGCTAGGCGAGATGGTGGGCAGGAGAATTGCTCAAACCCGGGAGGCGGAGGTTGCGGTGAGCTGAGATTGCAGCCACTGCACTCCAGCCTGGGCAACAGAGCAAAACTCTATCTCAAATAAATACAAAATAAATAAAAAATAACACTGGATTAAACAAGATACTTATCTCTCATGTTAAAATCCAGGTAAGCAATCCAGGGCTGGAATGGAGGCCCTGCAATCACCAGTTGCCCAAGCCTCCTGTGTCTTAATGCCCTGCCAATCTCAGCACCTAGTATCTGTTTTTGGTCTAAGGATGGCTACCCTCACTTCCACCTTCCCATCAGTGAGGATGTGGAAAGAGGTAAAAGCCTGGCTCCATTTAAGAGAACATGACATTTTTGCTCACATCCCATTCTTCTGAACTTAATCACATAGCTACATCTAGCTGCAAGGGAGGCTGGAAAATGGGACTCTTTGACTGCCCCCTGTGTAAGAAGGGGAGACTGGATACTGGAGTATAATTAATAGTTGTTGACACATGGACACCCTAAGCTTTAAGTAGTATGATATTTTTACAAAAATACTAGAGTTTTTAGAGTTTAATACAACAGCTAGAAGGTGTACATAGGTCCTAAGCATCAATGAAGGATCATTAATCCATTTCTCAGAATGTGATTCCAGACAGCAGCTTCCATCTGAGGGTCTACAAAGGTGGCATGGGGTTCTGCACATTATTACAAATATTTACCAAGCCAATGTATAAAAAGACAGGCAATAACAAATATTGACAAGGATGTAAAGAAACTGTAGCTCTTGTATTCTGCTGGCGGGAAAATGGTGCAGCCACTTTGTAAAACATTTTTCAGTTTCTTAAAATACTAAATAGAGTCACCATATGACCCAACAATTCAGCCATTATTATCTACCCAAGATAAATGAAAATCTACATTCACATGAAGATTTGTATATGAATATTCCTGAGAACATTAGCCATAATATCCAAAAAATGGAAATAACCCAAATGTTTTAACTGGTGAATGGATAAGAAAAATGTGGTATATCCATACAACAGAACACTATTCCAGTCATAAAAAGGAACAAAGTATTGACACATGCTTCAACATGAATGCATGTCAAATACATTAAGTGAAAGAAGACATAAACAAAAGACCATGGTTCCATTCATATGAATATAAATATATGAAATATCCATCACAGACACATCAATAGAAACAGAAAGCAGATCAGTGGTTTTGTGTGGCGGGGGTTGGGGGTGGTGCTGAAGGTGGAAATAGGAAGTGACTGCAAATGGGAATGAGGTTATTTTGGGGGTGAAGGAAATGTTCTAAAATTCCATTGCAGTAATGATTGCAAAACTCTTTAAACTTACTAAGAATTATTAAATTATACACTTTTATTTTTAGAGATGAGGTCTTGCTACATTGTTCAGGCTGCTCTCGAACTCCTGGCCTGAAGTGATTCTCCTGCCTTGGCCTCCCAAAGCTCTGGGATTACAGGCATAAGCCACCATACCCGGCCTGTTTTTAATTTTCTTTGCAGCCTTAGGAAATCTAGAATTCAAGGACACACCATGATTAGTTGCTGGGGATATTAAGTGGTTAAAAAAGCTGTGGCCTGCGCAGTGCTCAGGGATGGGAACAGGTGAACCAGGAGAGTGGCAACAAGCAATGGTAAGAGAAAACCCAGAGCAGAGTAATCACGCTGGACCCTTGCTGGGAGAACTAACCTTAAGGGGTGTGGAGGAGAGGACTCAAGTAGATAACAAAAACAGCACTCAGAGATATTCCCCAGTTCCCTGTGGTCCAGCTCAATCTTCTACAGTTTTCATGAGACTATACCACGCTGTGAGAATTGATATTCCTAATCATTCATTAATTCTTCACATATGCATCCACAAAGATTTCTTGAACCTCCTATTGCCAGGAGTAAGGATGTTCCTAAGAGCCCAAACCTGGTTTCTCGTTCTACCTCAGCTGCTTGTTCGAGTACAGGTCTCATCTCAGTATAAGTTTCTTCTTTCTTTTTTTTTGAATTTCAAAGAGCCTATATCTTCATGAATTTCATGAAAAAAAATTAAATAAACATGAGGTCTAAAATTTGCTTCTTGTGCCTGCAATAAATCTTTCCAGGAAGAACTACCTTCCCAGGTTTTTTTATCCTTTTGTTTTCCTTCCTTAATATTACAAAGTCCTTTCTGAGGTCATAAACCTAGCAACAATATACAACTTTAGACTTAAATGTGAAAAAACATTAAATGACCATAATTGACTCAGGATGAAGTGATCTAATCTGAATACCAATAATAAATTTTAAAAAATTTTTTCTTTATTCCTTCTAAAAAAAGAAAAACAGGATACATGTGCAGAACATACAGGTTTGTACATAGGTATATGTGTGCCATGGTGGTTGGCTGCACCTATTGATCCATTCTCTAAGTTCCCTTCCCTCACTCCCCACCCTGCAAGCAGCCCTGGTGTGTGTTGTTCTCCTCTCTGTGTCCATGTGTTCTCAGTGTTCAGCTCCTACTTATGAGTGAGAACAAGCAGTGTTTGGTTTTCTGTGCCTGTGTTAGTTTGCTGAGGATGATGGTTTCCAGCTTCATCTATGTCCCTGCAAAGGACATGATCTCATTCCTTTTTATGGCTGCATAGTATTCCATGGTGTATATGTACCACATTTTCTCTATCCAGTCTATCATTGATGGACATTTGGGTTGGTTCCATGTCTTTGCTATTGTGAATAGTGCTGCAATAAACATATATGTGCATGTGTTTTTATAGCAGCATGACTTATAATCCTTTGGGTATATACTCAATAATGGGATTGCTGGGTCAAATGGTATTTCTGGTTCTAGATCCTTGAGGAATTGCCCCTCCAATAATAAATTTTTTAAAAATCATAGAATTCACTCCAAAGAAATCTAACCCAGGTAGCTTTGTGGGCGAGCCTTTTTAAATATTAAAAACACATATGATTCTCCCTCTATAAACTCCTTCAAAGTTAAAATGGAAAACCTACCTAATTATAGACAAGAAACCAAACAAACAAAACAAAACCAAAACCTAAAAATACCTTGGTACCAAAACTTAAAACAACAGCAACAACTATAAACCAATCTTATGTGTCAATACAGATGCAAAAACCTTGGGTAAACTACTTACAAATTAGGCTGGGTGCAGTGGCTCTGTAATTCCAACACTTTCGGAACCTGATGCAAGAGGATTGCTCGAAGCCAGGAGTTCAAGAACAGTCTGGCCAACATCGCAAGACCCCATCTTTAAAAAAAATTTAAAAATTAGCCGTGAGTGAGGGAGAGCTGGGCACAGTGGTGTACACCTGTAGACTCAGCTACTCAGAAGGCCAAGGTAGGAGGACTGCTTAAGCCCAGGAGTTCAAGGCTTCAGTGAGCTATGATAGCACCACTGCACTCCAGCCTGGGTGACAGAGCGAGACGACATCTCTAATAAATAAAAAACAAGAGAGAAAAAAAATTACAAATTAAATTAAATAACATATTTAGGGACTTTCCACCATGTTCAAGTAGAATTTCCTCAAAAAATATGAAGATTTTTTTTTTTTTTTTTTTTTTTTAGTATTCAGAAATATACTAGGCTGGGCATGGTGGCTCACACCTGTAATCCCAGCACTTTGGGAGGGTGAGGCAGGCGGATCACCTGAGGTCAGGAGTTTGAGACCAGCCTGGCCAATATGGTGAAACCCTGTCTCTACTATAAATACAAAATAAATTAGTCAGGCATGGTGGCAGGCACCTGTAATACCAGCTACTAGGGAGGCTGAGGCAGGAGAATCACTTGAACCCGGAAGACAGAGGTTGCAGTGAGCTGAGATCACGCCACTGCACAACAGCCTGGGCGACAAGAGTGAGAATCTGCCTCAAGAAAAAAAAAAAGAGAGAGAGAGAAAGGAAAAGAATATCCTAATATCGACATTTGTGACAGACTAAAGATGAGGACAGGCCGAGCACCGTGGCTCACGCCTGTATTCCCACCACTTTGGGAGGCTTAGGTGGGCGGATCATTTGAGGTCAGGAGTTGGAGAGCAGCCTGGCCAACATGGTGAAACCCCGCTTCTACTAAAAATACAAAAATTAGCTGGGCATGGTGGGAGGTGCCTGTAATCCCAGCTACTCGGGAGGCTGAGGCAGGAGAATTGCTTGAACCCAGGAGATGGAGGCTGCAGTGAGCTAAGATCACACCACTGCACTCCAGCCTGGTGATATAGCGAGACTCTGTCTCAAAAATAAATAAATAAATAAATAAATAAATAAATAAATAAATAAATAAATAAAAATGAGGACAAATTCTTTGCCACTCCTCCATTGAGAAGTAGGGTCTATTGGCCCTCTCCTGAAATCTGAGATGACCTGTGACTGCTTTGACCAATTTAGAACAGTGGAAGTGACACTAGGCCTTTAAGAGGATTGGCAGCAATGGCTGGATGCAGTGGCTCATTCCGGTAATCCCAGTATCTGGGAGGCTAAGGGTGGAAGATTGATTGAGGCCAGGAGTTTGAGACTAGCCTGGGCAACAAAGCAAGACCCCATCTATCTATTTCTTTCTCTCTCTCTCTCTCTCCCTCCCTCTCTCTCTCTCTCTCCACACACACACACACACACACACACACACACACACATACACATATATATATATATATACCTCCTTACTCTCTGTCACTCACTCATTCTCTCTCTCTATGTGTATATATGACTGGCAGCTTTCACGTTCAATTCTGGGAGCCATGAGCCACCTCTGAGAAGCTGAACTATTCTGTACACATAGAGAGGCTCTGAGACGACAAGGACTGGCCCATCCTTCTAGCTGTCTACACCAAGGTGCCAAGCAGGTGAGTAAAGTCATCTTGGACCCCCAGATGGCATCTTGGCACCCCAGATGGCAACTCCACATCATCAAGAGACCCCATTTGATATAGGAAGAGAAGAATACCTAGCTGAATCCTGCCCAAATTCCTAACTCACAAAATCATGAGATATAATTAATAAAATGGCTGTTGTTTATTTGTTACACAGCAATAGGTAACTGGAACAACACCCCAACAGCATGTGAACTGACAATTTACTCAAAAAAGAAAATGTCTAATTTATATATACAAATCTTCAACCTTGCTAGCACGCAGAGGGAAACTGACATTCCTATACTAGTGATGGGTGCAGAGTTTGTGCAACCTTTCTGAAAGTTAATTTAATCCACAAATTTCATTTCTAGGCATTTCTCCTAAGGAAATAATTCAGGAAGGGCACATATGATCTAGGAAAGATATTTTCTGTAGAGTATATAAGATAGAGAAAAATTGGTAACTGAGGTCAGAACTGTGGGAGATTTTCACTTTCTGCCTTACATTTCTTTTTTCCCCCTTATCATGTGTTACTTTTATTAAAAAAAAAAAAAGACATTATTTAAAAGGAGCTCTTTACATGGTTCGGCCTAACTGGAGTTCTGCTCTGGGGCTTGGGACCCACCCTCAGAGTGATAAAAACTCCCCATTAACCTGGCTGGTCCTCTGTGTATATAAGCCATTTTCTCCTGGGACCCTGTGGGAACAGGTATTTGGTAGCAGCTAGAATTCACATGCTCAGGATTCGATGTCCTAGCCATCTGCCTCTCAAGTTATAAATATCTATTGGCACTTGGAGATATAACTATGTATGTATACATACAATTTAAAGTTGGAATTTGTAAACAGAATAATTTTACACTTCTTAGGCAGCCCTGGAATCAACCACATAATACAGAGACCTTTCTCTCTTTTTTTTTTTTCTTCTCTTTTTTTTCTGAGATAGGGTCTTGCTCTGTCACCCAGGCTGGAATATAGTCACATGATCATAATTCACTGCAGTCTCCAACTCCTAGGCTCAACTGATCCTCCTGCCTCAGCCTCCCAAGCAGCTGAGACTACAGCCACGTGCCACCATGCTGGCTAATTTTTTGATTTTTTTGAGACAGGGTCTTGTTATGTTGCCCAGGCTGGTCTCGAACTCCTGGCCTCAGGCAATCCTCCTGCCTCAGCCTCCCAAATGCTGGGATTACAGGCATGAGCCACTGCATCAGGCTTAGACCTTTCTTTTTACCTGAATTTTGAATATGTATCATATCACTAATCAATGTCTTCCCCATCCTCCCCCCCAGCTCCCTGATTTGGTTTCTCTTGGGGTGCCAATCCTCCTGTCCCTTACTTCCATATTCCATATGTCTATTTATTTGTGTTACCCATGAAATTGAACACAATTAGGAGAGACTAGCACGGACCAGGCATTGTAATTCTCAGACCAGAAGTCCCTGGACTTCCAGGGCCTCCAAGCAGCTTCCTCTCCAAGTCTTGCTTTAACCCACTCCAGTTATCTGGAGAACTGGATCATATTTTCTTATTGTGATTGGCTTTTAAATGAACATGTAGCCATGGTAACAACTGAGTGCTGATGATAACGAGAAGTCTTATTTAGAGAAAACCTCTTTTTATTGTCAAAGCAGCTGTGTATGTGTGTTCTTATCTATTGGAATCAATTATTCATCCCATTAGTAAATGCAGCTTTCTCTTAAACTGTTTTTGTATTAGAAGCAGGATGCTGTCTATTTAAAAGAGAACTGGAATATTCAGAATGTGTGGGTAAACCAATCCTCCTAGAATAATTTGGGAACATTGAAAAATACGCGGGAAGCCGACACGATCATGAGGGCATTTCATCTGAGGAGGACGGAGACAAATAAGGGACTTGCCCAGTGTTTTGATTTCAAGGAATTATCAGTCAAGCTGTTTTCTTCATAAAAATAGAAATATCTTAATTTTTCCTGAAAACATGTTTATTGCTAAAACTTAAAAAATATAAAAAAGTCCCCCCACTTCCTGCTTATAATCTCATACCCCCCCAACTCTTAATAGTTTGTTATATACACTTACAAATATTTTATGCATGTATGCTTTAAGCATATACACCTTGTGGGGGGGAGGTGTGTGTGTCTGTGCATACACGTGTACATATTTAACTTTTAAACACAAGTGGAGTTTATATGAGTTAGGATTACATTGGGCTGTACATAACAGAAACTCTCAAATTATGACTTGAACAAGATAAATCTTATCTCTCACCAGGGAAAAATGACAGGGCTTCTGCCATTACATCCACATTCCAAGGAGCAGATTGGAGGAGAGGGAAAGGGGCATAATTCTCTCCTTTTCAAGGAAACTTCTGATTATACTTTATTGCCAGAATTTAGTTATATGGTCCCATCTTTGCAAAGGAGGAGGGAAATGTCATCTTACTGGTGGGTTACATTGTGCCCACCTAAAAATAAGGTCCCCCTAACTTGAGGGAGAAGACTAGAATGGCTACTTGGTAGGGAACTAACTCTCTCTCCCAGTGTTACACTATTCATAATGTTCTATAACCTCCCCTTTCCACTCAATACACTGTGAGTAGATTCATTTTTAACAGCTGAATAGTACTCTCCTGCATGACTATGCCACAGCTGGTTTAACCAAACCCCTGTTGATGGGTATCTCAGTAATTTTCTTTATCCCCCCGCCAGAAAGATATTTTCTACTCTTCATATGTGAAAAACACAAAGATAATTTCGACAATACCATAACTTCTGGTCTTCCTCTCACTTCTCTCAACATTTCTAATTTATTCAGTTCAGCTAAATGCACACTAATTAAAGCCATTTTCCTTTCCTGTGCTTTATCTAGAATGCTTCTTAAGGCTAGAGTCCCTTCCTGTCAACTCCTGTGGCTGCAAATCTCATCCCTCTGTAGTGAATCCTGTTCTCTCCATTGACTACTAATCTTTAACCTACTTCTAGCATTTTTTCTACAGATATACTTTCAAATGTCGCAAAGATATATATTCAAGAATGCTTATTACAACACTATTTGTAATAACAGCAAAAACAACCACAAAGCTGGTGGGAGCAGGTGTGGAACATCTTTCATTGGGTGAGTCAAGTAAATTATGCTACATTTATGTAATGCGATACAAGGCAGCCATTAAAATACATGTGGATCATTACATTGATCCACGTATATTGCTATGGAAAGCTCTCCAAGACAAATTAGTGAGGGGGAAAATAATAAGATGCAATGTATTGCATTGCAGAATGTATTACCACCTCTCTACCATAACATTATCATATTTGTGTTTAAAATAAGAAATGTAATACATGTGAACACATTCAGTAAAACTCCTCCTTAACATGATTAGCTGAGTATAAAAATTCATCGGCCCAAAATGTGTTTCCTTTATTGTCAGTTTAACGAAGTGATCCAGACCAGGAGCTGGGAGGGGTCTAGTTTTGAGACCCAAATCCGATCTGGTCCTAAATGAGATTGGCGACACCTGATGGCAATAATCCACTCTGGTTTAAGTATTGCTGGGATACAGCTTCTAGAACAGTAGCAGTGTTTTCAGAAATCCTCCAATTAGTTGGTTCCCATTTTATCTGGCCCCAATCTAAGGAGATAGTGCCCACAGAATAATGAAGATGTGGGAACCCACATTTCACATCCCCATTTCCAAGACTGGATGGCAAGTCACATTCACACACACACCCTCTCACAAGCACCACCAGCACCACCACCACCAACACCACTGCAGCCCACATCTCTGCCTGGGCTAGGCTTAGACAGGAGAGCAGCCCATCACTAAGGACACTCCGGGATAACTTTGCCATGGATTTCATTGCATACGCTTACATTTACTCCATGCTATGCTGTTTTCTTAAACCTTAGCATGCTAGGTTTTTTGTAAATTAGTCCAAAATTATAAAATTAAGCTGGAAGGAGTATTGGACATGAACAAATAAGTTACAGCTGAAACCACTTGATTTACAGTAATAAAAAAGAAACAAAAATATAGGATGCCTATCAAAGGGCTACTACTGAGAGAGACAGGGTTGCCCCAACAGGGCAATGAAAAGATTGGCAAGAAGACCAACAATCTTTATTTATTCATTCATTTATTTTTTGAGACAAGATCTCACTGTGTTGCCCATCGCTCCAGCTCAAGTGCAATGGCTCAATCACGGCTCACTGCAGCCTTAAACTCCTGGGCTTAAGCAATCTTCTCACATCAGCCTCCCAGGCACATGGCACATGCCACATGCCACCACATCAGGCTATTTTTTTTATTTTTATTTTTTTAATTTTTGTAGAGATCAGATCACACTATGTTGCCCAGGCTAGTCTTGAATTCCTGGGCTCAAGCAATCCTCCTGCCTTGGCCTCCCAACCTGCTGGGATTACAGGCAAGAGCCACTGCACCAAGCCAAGACCAACAGTCTTAACTGGAGGATCTCAAGTTTCTTGTATGGCAATTGATACAGAATGTACATCAATAGACCTTATCACACAAGCTAAAGGGAGAATTGATTGATTCAAAGACCCTCATCCAAAGATCAGCCATGTCCCAAATTCATCAGTTATCATCTTCACTTCCCACTGTACATCGAGAGCCAGGGAGATATAGAGGAGCTAGAAGTCTTCATGTGACTTCTGGGCATGTATAAAAGACACTGAGAGCTGGAAATGGACCTTCTAGAAGGCATCCCAGTGGAGCATGAGCTCCTTTACACAGCCACTCCAGAGTGATGCCAACAGACTGGCCACTCTGTGTTCGTGGTCAGCAGGCCATAGAAACTACGTGAGTGACAAAATGTATTAGTAGCAGTGTGTGTTGGAATGAGTCAATACAAAGAAGAACACAGGCAGGAGATGTGGCTTTGCAAATCACATATGTATATTGAAAATTGGAATACACCGTTTGGTGGCTTTGAGTCCTAACACTTTCCCCCCATTTCTTGTACTTGTAGAAATATTGTTCTCACTTTTTCCTGATTTCTTTGTTTCTCACTCTATTGTGCTTAATGATTGTATTAAGGGTTGTTTCTCCTTTTTCATGTATCCTTAGGAAATGAATAATATGTGTTGAAATCAAAAGACATATAGAGCACTGTTTTAAAATTATGTGTTAGCAATAGTCAATCATGAAAATGTTGTTTAGGCAAAGCAGTTACATATCTAGGTTTTTGTTGTTATATATATACATACATACATGTATAAAAATGTATTTATATGCCATGCAAATAGGAGTTTAGAGTAGGAACTCAGAAAATTCTTTCTGGGATTCTACTGTTATTCTAAGCAATCTTATTTCTCACAATTTTTCTTTATTACTAAATTATATTTTTAAATGTAAGTATTGTCAATTAGGGTGGTATTCATTAATCCATAAATAGAATGTATTATCTAAATCACTTATGGTTTACCAATATTCACATGTAGATTGAATACACATTTGTAAGACATGTTTTATTTCTGTGCAGGGGAAATAATTGATATTTAAAATTATCTTATTCAAGTCAACTCAAAACTGTGTGAAAAACCACATTAGCTTCCTAATCAGTAAATTAGAGCACTTCCAGATTATTAAGGATTTAGTCATCTTCTAAAGCATATGCATTAGTGATTATTATTTTCCTGTATCTCATGAGTGAACATTTTGGGATGGCTAATGACATATGTATAGTGCAAGCAGTTTCTGTTTCAAATTGACCAGCAAGAACTAGTACCTAATTTTATGCTTTGTCAGTGATACTTTGTTTATATATAAGAAATATTTATAATTGATAATAGCAATGGTAATAAGAAAAACAACATGAATTGTACTGAGATTAAAAACTCAGAAAAACTCACCTGGGCTATGGGACATGATGTATGCAGGAAGATAAAATTCAAGTATATTATTAGTAAGGCATGCTGCTTCGTCTTAAAGAGGATTTTAAAAAATATAATTAGAAAAAAGTATTAGTAACAACTGACTTTAGGCTGCTAAAGAGATTTTAGAATTAATGCTATTTTTTTGAGATGGAGTTTTGCTCGTTTGCCAGGCTGGAGTGAAGTGGCCCAATCTCGGCTCACTGCAACCTCCATCCTCTGGGTTCAAGCGATTCTCCTGCCTCAGCCTCCCGAGTAGCTGCGATTATAGGCACCTGCACCACGCCCAGCTAATTTTTTGTATTCTTAGTAGATATGGGGTTTCACCGCCTGCCTAGGGCTCCCAAAGTGCTAGGATTACAAATGTGAGCCACCATGCCTGGCCAGAATTAATGCATTTTATCATTTGTGAAATTTTCTTCTGGAATTGCAGAGCTTTGGGTACATATGGGACTGACTATTGAATGACAAACCATTGAACGTGTTATTTTAAAAAGGATAGAAGAGGCCAGGCATGATGGCTCACTCCTGTAATCCCAACACTTTGGGAGGCCAAGGTGGGCAGATCACTTGAGGTCAGGAATTCGAGACAAGCCTGGCCAACATGGTGATACCCCATCTCTACTGAAAATACAAAAATTAGCTGGACATGGTGGCGGGAATCTGTAATCCCAGCTACTCGGGAGGCTGAAGCAGGAGAATCACTTGAACCCAGGAGGCGGAGATTGCAGTGAGCCGAGATCGCACCACTGCACTCCAGCCAGGGCGATAGAGTAAGACTGTCTTTAAAAAAACAAAAACAAAAACAAACAAACAAACAACAGGATAGAAGAGACAGAAACTCAGAGAAAGCCCAAAAATCCTCGAATAGTTCAAAGGATCAGCATGATGAGGTCCTCAAAGAAGTTACCTCCAAGTTTGAGGAATGGAGATGGCTCACCCTCTAGGCAGGTAAATCAGCCGCCAGGTAGACAAATCTTGAGAGTAGAGTGGCAGAATTTCTTTTTTCATTTAGTAAAATAATAACCTACATGTCTTTGTATATAATTTTAACTAATCACTTTTTTCAACAATAAAATGCTTACCTTTCTATTTAATTACCTTAACACTGTGGAGTCCATTCCCCTTGCTAATGTTTTTATAGAGCACAGAGAATTCCACAGGATAATAAGCAAGTATTGGTTATTATGTTATTTGAGTGCCTGTATTATTTTCTGGGTCATACAAAAAAGTCTAACTGCCCTTGTGTGTGTCAGAAGTTTTGATTCAACTTCTGTGTTGAGCATCTCTTACACACTAGTGTCAGACTAAGAAATGTAACCAGCAAGAGGGTCACATTTCTTTATATTTCCAAATCAAGATAAATTAAGCTCAAGAGCCTCAATGTCTAAGGTTAGAGAGAAGTCATTATTAGTCATTTAGGGATGATGGAGGAACCTCTGGCTTACAAGATCCACTAAACAGAAGGAGGAGCCTGGTTCTCAGTCTAGGTTTCCTCTGCTGTCCCTGTTCTTTCCAAGGACCTGGAGATCATCTCCAGTATTAAGGGAAGTACAGGGTACATTAATGACGAATAATAGGATTGTGGAGACAGCTGGGGGAGGGGGACAAGGAAAACACTCCTGGATAAGTGACAGTTAAGCTGAGACCTGAAGAAAGAGTAGGATGTGACGGAGCTAAGGGAACAGGACCAGTGAAAAAGGAAGAGCATGTAGAAGACCTGGGGGCAGGACAGAGCCCGGCACGGAGAGAAGGCCAGGTCTTCTCCGTAAGCACATCAACATCAGCAGCCATTAACTGAACACTCAGGGGGACCACATCAGAGTACAAAGACACAGGAGCTCTTTCTCCTACCCTTAAGAAGATCACAGTGTGGGAGTAGAGCTGGGAAGAAATTGACAAGAACACCGTCTCTTACTATACAGTTTGCGAGGGTTGTAAAGAGTTAAGCAAGAAGAGTGGGCGTGGGGAGGGAGTGCTAATCCATCCTGGATGAGCTGAGCTGAGGAGTGACTGGGGAGGAGGTGATCATGAATAAGTTAAACTGGGAGAGAGCTGTTCCCAGGCACAGGGACAGGAGAGGTGCACCCAGTCAGGGAAACTCTCATGGTCTGAATGGCCAGAGGGCGCGTGTATGCTTCAAGATGAGAATGGAGAGGGAAGCAGAAGCCAGATCCTGAAGGATTTCTGTGCAAAGCTCTGGAGTCTGAACTTTACCCAGCAGGTCAGTGGTCTCAATGGAGGTGACACCACCTCTTTGAGAGCATTTTGGACATTTGTGGGAATGTTTTTGGTTGTTGTGAGATGGGTGGGAAGGTGACCTGGTATTCAGCAGACAGGGACCAAGGATGCTGGACATCCTGAATGCAAGGAACAATCCCACACAATGAAGAATCATTTCTTATCCCAGCAGGATTCATGTGGGTGACATTGCTGTTTATAATGAGCTGAGCTGACAACCTAACTCCTGTTTTTTGTTTTGTTTTGTTTTGTTTTTGTACATGGAACACAAAATTTGTTGTGGTGGTGGTGGTGGTAGTGGTGGTTTCATTTGTTTTGATATGGTTTTTGTATATTAGAATTTTCAGGAATGAAACTTCCTTGTAAATCAGAGAACCTCATTTTGTCTAGAACTTTACCAAGAGTGGTCTCCATTCTGGAAAATCTTGATGTCAATAACAATGCTTCTCGTGGTATTTGAGCTGCCAATGATACACAGATGCTCAGCTGTATACGTAGCTGTCACTCACAGTGCAATTCGACAGGAGCCTCTGACTACTTTATTATGTCTTCTTGTGTAGTCACATGCAAGCATTTGCAATAAAAATACACTCAGTTGGCCGGGAGCGGTGGCTCATGCCTGTAATCCCAGCACTTTGGGAAGCCGAGGTGGGCAGATCACCTCAGGTCAGGAGTTCGAGACCAGCCTGACCAACATGGAGAAACCCCATCTCTACTGAAAACACAAAATTAGCCAGGCATGGTGGTGCATGCCTGTAATCCTAGCTACTGAGGAGGCTGAGGCAGTAGAATTGTTTGAACCCAGCAGGCAGAGGCTGCGGTGAGCCGAGATCGTGCCATTGCACTCCAGCCTGGGCAACAAGAGCAAAAGTCCGTCTCAAAAAAAAAAAAGAAAGAAAAAAAATACACTCAGATTTGACTGGGCACAGTGGCTCACACTTGTAATCCCAGCACAGCCTGGGCAACATAGCAAGACCCCATCTCTATAAAATTTTTTTTAAAAGATTAAAAAAAGAAATATATACAGTTTAATTATAAATTATTTTCAGATTTTTCCTTTATATTGCCATTAAGGCATTAAGCATAATTTTTCAAAAGTGTGTATAGAATGGTTATATTATCCATAAATTTTATTTCTAGAGAGTAAAGGGTTGGAAAAATATATTTGAGATAATCATCATGTAGATATCAAATGAAGTTATAAGCAGTGATGAGGTCAATCAAAGACCAAATATAAAACACTGGTTACTATTTGTGGGGTCATAAGCATCTTTGAAAATTTAATGGAAGTTATAAACTCATTTCCTAGAAAGCAAGCACACATCTATCCAAAGCTACTCACAGAGTGTCAGTAGTATGCTCAGAGGTCAGCAGGAGCCCACGCTCTGTACATTACGGAGGAGTGCTTCTGGCCATACTTTCTTCTCAGAAGTGAAGAGCTATTCCGCATGTCATATACATTACCATATGGAGATCATCTTCTTTTCCTAGAAGGAGAAAGCCTTCTCCCTATCCATAGGAATAAATCTATTCTGTTTGACGAATAATAATCACCATGAGTAGGGCTTGGGGGATGTGGCTCCTCAAGGCAATGCCTGATGGCAGCAGATGGCCACTAAAAGGCTAGATTCTGCTAATTGAAAGTGTACGGCTTCACTGATTGTATATTCCTGATTTAGGGATCCTCAGAATACCCACTGTCCTCTAATCCCTGCAGCAGACAGGAGTGCCACCCAGAATCCCAGCAATGAATAGCACTTAGACCAGGCATGGTTGCTCATGCCTGTAATCCCGACACTTTGGGAGGCTGATGCAGGAGGATCACTTGAGACCAGGAGTTTGAAACCAGCCTGACCAACATCAGGAGACCCTGTCTCTATGAAAGAAAAATACAAAAATTAGCCAGATGTAGGGGCCACACCTGTAGCTACTCAGGAAACTGAGATGGGAGGATCACTTGGGCCCTGGAGTTTGAGGCTGCAATGAGCCATGATTGTGCCACTGTACTCCAGCCTTGGTGACAGAGCAAGACCTTGTCAAAAAGAAAAGAAGAATAAAAACGACAACAAGAAAAATACCACTTAGGCTCAATGTGGAACATTCCCTTCATCCCCCTTCTCCCCATGTGCCCTTCACAACCACCATTAGTATAGTTGTAATATATTAGAGTGTGTTTGCTTGTGGACACCAGAAAGTTAGAGGGATACTTATAATGGGGATGTACAAAGTTTGTTTCTATGTTACATTGTCTACTATTTTTTCAAGTGAAAATGTTTATTTAAATTATTTATTAAAAGTTTTCTCCCAAATGATTTGAAGTCACCACTTAGCATCAATAAAAATGAACATGACTCAATTGTCTATATATAAGTCAGTCTCCAAATATTATTAGATGTTTTATTTCTGTTTCTTCCTACCAATAATTTATGAAACCAATGGCAATACCCAAAACTAATTTAACAAAAATCAAAATCATCAAAACACAAGAATAAAGAAGTATGGAAAGAAAGAGGTGGGAGGAGGAGGGAGAGAGGGAGGGAAGAAAGAAAGAAACTACAGATAATAACAGACTAATAGAGAAAATTTAATTGTGTATGTTTAATATTCTGAAAATAGTTATTGTTTAATGAAAACTTGAAGTAGCAAAAACAATTGTGTCTTTCCAATTAAGAAAGAGGAAATAAACATGGGAAAACTCTTCCCTTTGGACGAAACAGATTTTAAAACAGCTGATAGTCACAGTGGAAGAGAAGGGAGTAGATAGATGGTGTAGAACTACACATGTTCCCCTAACTCTTTGAATTCTGTTACTTCATTCTTCACTACTCACTGAAATGATGTATGCTGGGACAACAAAGACAGTTGCCAGTCACCATTCCAGGACACCTGTATATAACATCTATTTTCTTACTATGAAAAAAAAAAGGAAGAGAAAAAAATTCACTGGGAAGCAAAATATGTGAAGACCAATATATATCTTTGAAACTTTTAATTAATAATATATATTTTTTTCTTGGGTATAGATCCCTTTGACCTAAATAATTTGGCATAGAATCTACAACATAGTTGGTATTCAATCAATATTTGCTAAATATACGAATGAACAAAAATATATTACATAGCCAATATCCTTAAATTAAGTACCTCAAGGTTATTTCTCTTCCAACGATTTAAGCATGTCTCCTGCTACAGCATTTTCAGTTTGCATTGCTTACACTTTAATTCCACTCACTAAGAGCTGAATTTAACATCTTAAAAAGAAACTGAATCGGCACACAAAGCAAACGTGTATTGGGAACCTACTATATATTAGCCTCTGCGCTTGCAGATGATTGGTCACTGCAAGGGGCATTAAGACAAGGTCCTGCCCTCAAGTCTCAAGTTTGTTTCTCCTTCTGGCTCTGGATGATATAAAACACTGGGCTAACTAGTGGGGGAGCTAGGCCTCACAGCAAATGCCCTTTCTGTGGAAATGTCCTTGGCTGTCTGGCCGTGACACAGGAGACCTAAAGCCAAACCATGGGGGACAGCAGGAACAACTGAGGGAGCACCAAGTCAGATGAGGAATGAAGCAAGTCAAATGGAAGGGAGGAATGGGAAATGACAGGGCTGAAGCCTGCACTGAGTATGAGGTTTATCATCACCCTGCTTTCAGGGCTCCCACATGTTCCAATGGCAACTCACAGTTGATGAAATGTCAGGCCAGTTCTGAACGGGTCAGTGCAGGTCCTTCAAAAAATGATTCTTCTGGCCAGGCACCGTGGCTCACGCTTGTAATCGCAGCACTTTGGGAGACTGAGGGGGGTGGATCACCTGAGGTTAGGAGTTCGAAACCAGCCTGGCCAACATGGTGGAACCCCATCTCTACTAAGAATACAAAATTTAGCCAGGCATGGTGCTGTGCACCTGTAATCCCAGCTACTCGGGAGGCTGAGGCAGGAGAATCGCTTGAACCCAGGAGTTGGAGGTTGCAGAAAGCCAAGACTGTGCCATTGCACTCCAGCCTGGGTGACAGAGTGAGACTCTGTCTCAAAAAAAAAAAAAAAAAAAAAAAGATTCTTCCAAGAATCTTCCAAGAAACTTGAGGAGTATTCCAATGTGTATTTGTTTATCCATTTACCAATAAACAGTTCCTATATTTTTACTATTATGAATAAAGCTACTATAAACATTTGTGAACAGCTTTTTATGTAGACATATACCTTCATTTCTCTTGGGTAACTATCTATTTAGAATTGGGATTGCTAGGTCCTGTGATAAGTTTATGTTTAACTTTTCATGATCCCTGTCAAACTATTTTCCAAAGTAGTTATACCATTTTGGATTCCCACCAGCAATGCATGTGAGCTCCAATTGCTCTGCACCCTCACCAGCATTTGGTATCGTCAGTTGCTTTTCTCTTTTTAAAAATTTGCTAGGTAGCTGTATGTCATTGTGGTTTTAATTTGCATTTTCTTGATGACTAATAACATTGAGCATCTTTTCATATGCTTATTTGCTATTCATAATTCACCTTTGATGAAGTGCCTGTTCAGATATTTTAGTCAGTTTTTTTTTGTTGTTTTGTTTTGCTTATTTATTTATTTAGAGAGAGTATCTTGTCCTGTCACCCAGGATGGGTTGCAGTGGTACAGTCATAGCTCATTGCAACCTCGAGCTCCTGGGCTCAAATGATCCCCTGACTTCAGCCTTCTGAGTAACTAGAACCACAGGTGCACACCACCATGTCCAGCTAATTTTTTTATTTTTTGTAAAGATGGGGTCTTACTATGTTGCCCAGGGCTGGTCTCAAACTACTGGCCTCAAGCAATTCTCCCACTTCAGCCTCCCAAAACACTGGGATTACAGGCGTGAGCCACCACATCTATCACATCTATCCTTTTGCCCATGTCTTGAATTGGGCTGTCTGTTTTCTTATTATTGAATTATGAGATTATTCAAGGTTTCTGAATGATTATGAGAATTCAAGTTTTCTGGATGCAAATCCTTTATCAAGACTTTATGATAAAGGACTTGCATTCATAATTCTTAAAGAATTCTCAGTTTTGCAAATATTTTCTCCCAGTCTGTGAATTTTCTTTTCATTTTCCTAATGGTGTCTTTTAAAGAGTGGATGCTTTTAATTTTGATGAAGCCCAATTTATCATTTTTTCTTTTACATTTCATGCTTTTTGTGTCCTGAGAAACCTTTGCCTATCCAAAGTCAAAAAGATTTTCTGCTTTATCTAGTTTTATAATTTTAGATTTTAAATTTAGGCTTATCATCCATTTCAAGTGAATTTTTGCATATGGTGTGAGGTATGGTTGAAGTTCTCTTTAATTGCATATGGTTGTTCAACTATTTCAGCACTATTTTTTGAAAAGACTATCATTTTTTTTCCATCACATTGCCTTGGTGCCTTCGTTGAAATCAATTGGCCATTGTCTGGGTCTATTTCTGTACTCTCTTTCTGTTCCATTAATCTATGTGTCTATCCTTTAATTAATACCACATTGTGTTGATTACTATGACTTTCATGTGATATAATTTTAAGTGGAAAAAAGCACCATACATAGTTTTTTAAATAACATGCTTACTATAAAAAATGTATATATATAGAAAAGACTGAAACTTGCAAAAATAAGATATGAGATTGTAGGTGATAATGTTCTCTATTTTTAATAGAAGTTTCTTTTATCCCTAGGACTAGGCTCTGGCTCTGCCAGGGAAAAATGGCAGGAAATAACTAGAATATTCTGCTTTCTCCAAAGTTTTTTTTTTTTAGAATATATCTGTTTGAAGAAAGAAGCCTTACTTATAACCACTTCACTGACCCACATTCACCTAGCTTCACTGAATGTATGTTCTTCTTGCAGTCCTTGGAAAAGTCATTGCCCATTGATGGCAAACTCTCCAGGGGTTTTGTTATTTCTCAGAATGCCGGCAATGTAGAAATATGTGGGATATGACCAATCAGACATTTTCATACCAGTCCTGTTTTATAATAGTTCTTCATTTAGTCACTCACTCATTTGTTCGACATTTAATTTAATAAATAATTAAATCCAACATTAAATAATTAAATGTTGGATGAATGAATGAGTGACTGAATGAATAACTATCTTTACTATATACCAGTAACAATATTGAAATTGCAAGATGAGAAAGGCAAAATCTCTGTCTTCAAGGTGCTCATAGTCTAGTAAAGAAAAGAGGTTCACACAAACAATGGCTCCACCGGTATCACAGTGCTAGGGTGGGTCCCTGTTTAAGGTAAAGTGGGGCATCACAGAGATAATGGCCTGTTCTGCTCACTTCCTGCTCCACTATGACTAGTCAGTGACTTCCCCTCTTTCCCCAGATCTAAGATTGTCCTTCTTCAGTTTCAACTCACTTTCAGGAGATGACCTTCATGATGAAGATAGAGGTCATCGGAATGGAACTCTCATCCTCATTGTCCTGCCGCCTAGAGAACAAACCTGCCAGCATCTGTACCCTCTCCTTCAGAGGGAAGTGTTCTCTTTCTAGCAAAGACGAATCCCTTCTCAGGGGAGAGATCCCACTCCTTCCAGCCATCCTAGGAGCCTTGTCCCACAGGCTATCCCCCTTCTCTCCTGGAACTCCAGCCTCTTCCTTTCTCCTCTGTGCTTAACTCTGCAATTCCATCACCTATTAAAGAAGAACCCTTATCTGATTGTACATTCCTTATCTGCTACCACCTGATTGTCTGTCCTCTTTTATTCTAAACTTCGTAAAAAAGAAAGTCACCTGCACAATGTTCCACTTTCTTGTAATACTTTCGTTCCTCATTCTGGCTCCTATGACCCAACCACATTTGCTCTTGCTAAGGTTGCCTATAAGTGCCATCATTGCTCAAGTTTGGAACACTCTGCAGTTCTCACCTCTTTACCTCTTATTGCCATTCAACACTCTCACCCTCTTCTATACTCTTCCCTGGACTTCACTGATTCCAGGTTTTCTCCACTTCTCTGAGCATTCCCTCTCAATCCCCTTTGCTATCACCTCTCCCCTTCCTTGAGTCCTAAATGTCAGAGTTTTCCAGGTTCAGCCTTGAGTATCTTTTCTTCCTAGGCAATTTCTACGACTTTAGAAATTATAGTCCACCCCTATGACCCCTATGACCCCTATGACTTTAAGTGCCATCTGAGACATCTTTTTGGATCTCCAAACCTACATGCTTAACTATTACCTGACATCTTTACTTGGTTGTTCCACAGGCACCTCAGATTTAACAATTTGAAAACCAAACATTTGATCTCCACTGCCCCCAGCCTATGCATTCCTTCAGGGGTCCTCATTTCAGGAAAATATACAAAACATCTGTCCACATGGTCATATTAGAAACTTGGTAAATGTCCTTAACATTTTATCCAGACATTCATGTTCTCCAGTCCTATGAGCACTGCCTTGAAATTAAATGTTGACTCTACCCAAACCTCTCCCTCTCCATACCACATCATTTCTTGTATAGTCTCCTATTGGTCTTCCCTTTGCTATAGTCACCCATTTCAATCTAGTCCCTACAGAGAAGTCAAAATCATCTTTTAAAATGTTAGCTATGACACATCATTTGCCATTTCAATGTCTTCCCCATCATACTTTAGATAAAATCTGTCCTCTGTAATGTAGACAATAAGGTCGGTCATGATTTGGATCTTGCCCACTTCTCCAGCCTCTTCTCACATTGCCTCACCTCAAGCACTATCCTGCTAAAGGGCATTAGCACGTGCTCCTGAGAACCCCTCCTCCCCCATTCTTCACATCACTAAGCCCTGTTCATCTGTCAAGTCCCTGCTTAAATGTAATGTCACCAAGCAGACTTTTCTTATCCCCATCAATCTAAATTACCATCAATCTAAGTACATTAATATCATGAAAATATTAATTTCTGTTTAGTTGTTTAATATTCATATTCCCCATCAGATTATAAGCTCTTTTAAGGTGGAGATCATGTGTTTCTGGTTTGCCTATGCCTCTGGTGCCTAGCTTTGTGTCTAGTAAATAGTGGTTACATGGGTGTATTAGCTCCCTATTGCTGCTGTAACAAATGACCATAAACTTAGTGGCTTTTTCATTTTTTTTTTTTTTTTTGAGATGGAGTCTTCCTCTGTTGCCCAGGCTGGAGTGAGTGGTGCAATCTCAGTTCACTGCAACCTCCACCTCCTGGTTCAAGTGATTCTCCTACCTCAACCTCCCGAGTAGTTGGGATTACAGGCATGCGCCACCACACCCAGTTAATTTTTGTATTTTTAGTAGAGACAGGGTTTCACCATGTTGGCCAGGCCAGTCTCGAACTCCTGAACTCAGGTGATCTGCCCTCCTTGGCCTCCCAAAGTTAGTACTTTAAACAACACAAATGTATTATCTGATAGTTCTGGGTATCAGAAGTCCTACATGAGTCTTACAGGGCAAAAACCAAGATGTCAGCAGAGTTGGTTCCTTCTGGAGGCTCCAGAGGAGAATCTACTTTCTTGCATTTTCCAGCTACCAGAGCTGCATTCCTTTCTCTTTCTCTGCCTTCAAACCCAGTAGTGTAGCATCTTCAAATCTCTCTGCTTCTGTCTTCACATCACCTTCTGTCTTACTCTTACTCTGTCTCTCTTTCCCCTCATCTCAAGATCCTTAACTCAGTCACATTTGCAAAGTCCTTTTGACCATGTAAAGCAACATATTCACAACTTCTGGATATTAGGAACTGATGATTCTTGGGGACCATTATTTAGCCTACCACAGTAATTGTTGAGTGAATTAATGAGTGAAGGGAGAGAGCCAGGAATGCTTCACAGGGGGAGAAATGTTTAAACTGTAATATGAGAGATTAATAGGTATTTACCAGGCAGACAAACAAAGGTTGCATTCATTCTAGGAATAGGGAAGTACATGGACAAAGGGCTAGAAGTAAGAGAAAGCAGGTTTTGTTTGGAGAAGGAAGCAATAGTGTCTTCTTGTACTGAGAGTTTGAGAAAGGATTTGAAATGAGCAGACAAGTCAAGGCTGAGTTCTACATCACTGGAGGTGTAGAAGATTGTGTAAAGACTGTAGACATTACCTTTAGGTGAGTCAATGCTGAGTCATCTGCATGCTTATTACAATTCAGTCATTCAAGATTTAACAAGCAATCATTGAGCAGATTTTTTATGCCAAGAGATGGTTAGGTACCACCTAAAACAGATATCATTAAACCTAAACAGACCAAAATGGCAGCATAAGAGAGAAGGGATAAAATATTGACTGGCTGTTAGAACATTAGTTTGGCGGTGTCTTATGTACCAGCAAGGGTAACATGTGAAAGATCTTATAGAAGCTCTGTGTAGTTGTGGCATTCTTCTATGTTTTAAGATGTTTTTAAAATAAAAGTAATACAAATTAGAAAATGAAAGCATGCAAAACAAAGAAAATAAAGATACATTTCTACTATTCAGAGATAAACACAATGAATATTTTGGTATATCTACTCCTAGAATTTATTTAATATTATGTACATGTGAAACTTATTACAAAGTATTTATTACGAAATATTGAGATATGCTAAAAGAAATAGAGAAAAATATAATGAAAATCCAGGTACCCACTACCCAGCTTAAGAAATAAAACATTATCAATACAGTGAAGATTCCCTGTTTACACACATTTCTGAATTTCCATCTCTCTCTTTTTTTTTGGAATTAAAAAATGTGTTACAAAAATAATACATACTTGTAAAACAATTCAAACAATACCGAAATAAAAGCACAATATCCCACCCAGCATACATAACAAACACAGAAGCCCTCTCCCCTCCAATCCCATTCCTGGGGGGTTATCATTGTGAACAGTTAGCATATATCCTTTCAGACTTTTACCTTTGCATACAAGAGTATATATAAAAACACATACAAATAAACACACATGGTTCTGTGTTTTACAAAAATGGAATCACATACATCTGTTATATATGATTCTTCAATTTCTTTCTTCATTCATACGTTACACAGATTTCTAAAACACAAACCTGATTACATCACTCCTCTAAGAGCTTATTTCCCATAATATAAAAATCATACACATTAACATCAAATGCAAAGCTTGTGATGATATACTTCCTGCCCATCTTTCAGTCTCATCTCTAGCCATTCCAGCATTAAAGGACTGGAATATAAACCATCTTAAATCCTTCCTGGAACAAGGCAGTTACAAACAAACAAACTAGAAACACACTGCCATTTCTAGACTGTGGCCTTTCCCATTCATGTTACACTTTGCCTGGACTTTTCCGTCTGGCAAACTTCTACTAATTCTAAAACAATCAGCTTAAAAATTATCTCCAGGAAGACTTCCTTGACTTTTCAGACATAATTACTCCTCTATTTCCCCTATACTTTACAGCTAGCTTCTTAATTGCACTTATCTCACAGTACTATAATGATTTATTAACATGTTTTGAATTCCACTTCCCCTCCCCCAACTCGATGGTGAGCTCTTTGGGTAAAAGGGATTTGTCTTATTTACCTTTGCATCCCAAGGATCTGACAGAGTGCTTATCGTGAAAAGGAGATGCTCAGTAACATATCTGTTGAGGGTTTTATGATTCTAGGAACATTTGCTGAGTACCTACTATGCACAGAACCGTATCCTAAGCATGAAAAGAAACACAAGACACAGTCTTTGCCCTAAGAAACTTACCATTTTCCTACCATTTCCCCTGGTGGGGAGGGACAGAAAACATTTAGATGGCAACATTTTCATTTCTGACATATAGGCTGTTTCAAAATTTATGGTAATTTGCCTCAAATCCATATAGGAACGAGGCATTGTATAATTAAATAAACAATAAAATAATGGGCGGTTTGTCACATAGGTTTAAGTGTAGCAGAGTCCACTAGAACCCAATTCTCTGTCCCAGCAGGAGGGCTCTCATCTGTTCCAGCCTGTAAATTAGAAAAGTGAGATGATACCATGCTTGGAAATTTTCTTTTTTTTTGAGATGGAGTCTCACTCTTTCGCCCAGGCTGGAGCGCAGTGGCGTGATCTCCACTCACTGCAACCTCTGCCTCCCGGGTTCAAGCAATTCTCCTGCTTCAGCCTCCCGAGTATCTGGGGATTACAGGCGTGCACCACCACACCTGGCTAATTTTTGTATTTTTAGTAGAGATGAAGTTTCGACATGTTGGCCAAGCTGGTCTCGAACTGACCTCAGGTGATCCACCCGCCTCGGCCTCCCAGAGTGCTGAGATTACAGGTGTGAGCCACCATGCCCAGCTGGAAATTTCCGATGCTGCTGAAGCTTGTGTCTTGGGTGTTCAACTTGGGATCAGGCTCCTCACAGCTCCCATAACTGATGTTGCTATCCTCCAAATCATGGGAAGCCTCCCCACCGTCTCCCTCATGGGACATCATGCTTTCTTCATTTTCCGTGCCCATCCTTGTGTTCTCCTGAAGCATGCTGAAGCATGAAGGGTTGTTTGGGTCTTATTCCACCATATCCCACATCAGAGTCACTTCCACTTTCACTCAGCTGGATAGCAGAGAAAGGATTGTCTCCTTCTTCGTCACTCCCAGCATCTTCCTCATCATCTTCTCCTTCAGATATAAGCAAATCCTCATACAGGACACTGGCTTCAGGTTGTTGTACAGTTCCTTCCTCTTCATCTGCAAGATCACCATCTCCCCCTTCTGGGGCTGGAGGCTTAGGTTTCCCATCCTCCTCCTCATCATCATACCCTTCAACATCCACATCAGAGTCTTCCTCACCCAGCCTACCTTGGCCCTGGCACATCTGTTTTTCTGGAGTGGCAGTGGAAATATCCAAGACAGACAAATTGCTCTCATCTTGAAATACAGAGGCATCTCGAGACGTACTGAGGGATGTGTTGGTATCATACATATCAGGAGGCTGAGATGTGTAGGGCCCTGGGGTCATTGGGTCCAGGCTTTCTAATTCTGCTTCCTCCAAAGCTGCTTCTTTAGCTGTACAAATATCCTTCTCAAGTTGAGTCAAATGCTCATCATACTCAGTAATTGTCTGGTAACAGATGTTCACAATCTCCTGAGCAGTCTTAGTGTACTGACTCTCAGGTCCATTATACTTAACACTGTTGGCAAGAATAAGGTTTACATCATCTAGAAAACTCTCCCGACTCTGATACTTGTGCTTGGAGATGTTCTTACGTATGGTCTCTAAATCCACTGGATTGACAATCATTTTGTAATAATCTGGAACAAACTTCTTATTAACTGGGTGATGAAATGGCCAAGAATCTGGAACTGCCATCATTTTCTGGGTGACAATGTTGTCCAGAATGAAAGAAAATGCCACTTGGTCATCATCATCCAGCAAGGGGTTGATAGCTTTCTCTAAGCGAGCTAATTTGTCTTCTTTCTCTTTAAGTTTTTCATCACAGAGATCCAGCATGGATTGAGAGATCTGAGTCAATGAATGTTTTGGCCCATTGTAGGTCGCACTGTTTTTCACAATTAGCTCCAGATGCTCTCTGAACTCTTCCCGAGATGGGTAGAGGCATTTACGCACATTTTCACGGAGTGTTTGTAGGTCCATTGGCCGAGTGATGATTTTGTAGTAGTCCTTTACAACCTTTGCATTGACTGGAGTGTGGAAAGGGTGTGTATTTGGAAGATCTCTCATGTCATTGATGATAGACTCCAGGATGGATGACAGCGTCACCATAGGGTCTGTGCGGCGTCGGTGGATGGACTTATGAGGTATATTCAAATAGTCACAATGAACAGTGGTTCCAACTCGCCGTTTCTTCTTTGGAGGAAGCTGCTGTTTAGGAAACTTGAGAACCAGAGATTTTCTGCGAACCTCATGCACATTCTCAATTAGCTGTTTCCCGAAGACAATTTTGGTCCCTTCAACCTTGATAAGTTCTTCATTATCATTATGAATGACTGTCTTTTCCAACTCCTCCTCCTGCTCTTCTGTCATGGCAACAGGTTTCGAAGGTGGCACATTTGTTTGATAATAGAGGGGGCAGAATTTGTTAGTCCTCATATGTCCAATGGCACCACATGCCCCACATTTCAGTTTTAGGTCAGGACGCTCTTTCATTTTCTTGGGCTTCTTCTCAGGAGGACCCTTAAGCTTCTCCTTTTCCTGGTTCCGCTTAAGCCGCCTCAGTTGCTCTTGAATCCTCCGCCGTTCTTTCCGCATCTCTTCCCGATGTTTTTCATCAAAAAGGGCAAATTTTTGAATGAATTTCTCATCTTTTGTAGTCCGTATGCGCACATAGGCATCAATGACAGCTGGTTTTCGGACTGTCTCACAGCGAACATACTCTTTCCCCTCTTCATCTCGAAATGTGCGATAAATCTTGAGACAGTGTCCAGTGGCAGAAGACTTAAGGCTAGTCATGGAAGCTGTGACATCATCTCTGTGATTGTTTCCTGATGCTGCTGAGCCTGCTACCAGTAGCATTCGCCGTAGTTCCTTCCGCTCCTGCTCCTCCCATTCACGTGACAGCTGAGAGCTGGTTTTCTTGTTCTGCAACATGTTCTCAATGTTCTTTCCCATTTCTTCAAAGTCACTATCTTCAGCTGAGATGCTGTCTGTGTCAGTTGATAAGACCTCAGTTGATGACAGAACCTTGTTCTGTAGGTCAAAGATACGCTGACATTCCTCTTTGTAACGCTCTTGATGCTCAGCCACAGAAAACCTTGATCCACGGGCAAATTTACTCATGGGCCCCTCTCCAGAATGAGCCTGTTCTGTTGACATTGTGCGCACCACATCAATCACTTCCCAGCGGGACAACTTTTTAATCTCTTCCTCAGGCACACCAAATTTACGTAGAAGTTGCTTGGCATTTTTCAGGGAAAGGCGACGAAGGTCTGCATCTGTTCCTGTCACTGTCTTCTTCACTGCCTGTGGCTCTTTATCATCCTTCTGCTGTGTTGGTTTATTTGGAATCTTCACATAGGAGAATCCTTCACCACACCCTGTGGGATCTGCCACCCCAGTCACCTCTAGGAGACACTTGCCCTTCATGGCAGCAATGAAGGCCCTTGTGGTGTTCCAAGGAGCAGCGTGAACTTCATCATCAATCTTCATCTGGAAATCTTCCTCATTTTCTTCTTCTGGGGCAAAAAAGGATTTCTCACCATAGCCAGCATCCTTCAGTCGTTGCTTTGCAGCTATCATGCTATAATAAGCACAGCACTGCTCTGGTGACACCTTAGCTCTGATCTCTTCTTCCGTTGGTAAACGAAAATCAGACTTAAGCACCCACCAGTTTGAATCCATCCCTGTGCGTTTGAAGTCAGCGCAGAGCTTTAGCCTCTTCCGGATGCTGCTTTCTGAATGGGAAGGAAAGGCTTTTTTTATATCTTCCATTCGTATCCTCCGTGGCCGATCTTTACTCTTCCAGAAAAGGCGGTAAATAAAAACCTGTAGAAAGTCTCGAATATGCATATTGGCCCTTCTGGAGTTAGGCCCAGGAACTTCAAACAAGGGACACTGCTGGCCAACCACAAAAATATCCACTAATTCCCGAATATAGTAACCCTGTCTTGTCCGAATGATCAGAAAATCAGTTTCTGGCATCTTATGAAGATACACTGGAGCACGAAAAAGGTTGTTCTCAAGTGCCTGCAGTAATTGGCCAGGATGGAGAGAGCCCAAGAAAGGAGATGTATGGCAGTAAACAGTTTCCCCATATTTACAATCTGGTGCTCCAGGATCTTTGCCAGGTTTCCGTTTATAATAGTTCTTTATCTTGGTTGCCATGCCAACCTGCATCATTAAGGGTCCATTTTCCTCACTATATTCTGCAAGAATAAGATCTCCATCTTTGCCTGTGAGATCCTGAGGTGTGCGCATAAAAAACAACTCTCCACCACCTGAGGCTTGCCTCTCTTGTTCTCTCATCTTGGCCTTTTTTTTGATGTGCTTTAGCAAAGGTTGGACTGAATGGGGACCTGGCTGAGAGAGTGCACCAAATGAGTACTTTTTCAGAGGTGGGCGATGGAACTGCCGGATTTTGATGGGCCCCATGTGGGTGGGAAAGAAGGGCTGCCATAATTCCATAGCAGGAATTGAATGCTGGATAATATTCCCTCCAAAGGTGCCCCGAAGACCCTGTTGCTTGGGGAAATAATACTCATCATTGGAGAGATTCCATGGATCTTTCACTTCTGGCTGAGACATGTTCTGCTGTGGTTCCTCCCTGATGACACCTGTTTTGCCCAAGAGAATTCGACTCTTCTTCAGAGATGATTCCTTCTTACTCTCCTTGGAGGGGGAGTTAGAGGTGGCCTCTTCCTTCTCATCAGGAATTTCCAAAATGAGGTTCTCATCATTGGGATCAAGTGCCAAAACAGGAGGTTCCAACAGCCGGGGCATGGCCTGAGCATCCCAAATGATATTGTCCTCCCAGCGTCCATACACCAGATCCTCATTGTCAATGGGAAAAATGGAGTACCAAGGTTTGTCATCATCCAGAGTGGGTGCAAAACCTTGCTGAACATTGTAAGCCATTACATTCCTAGTCTTAATAGAAGGAAGCCAGCCTGCCAGGCTTGCACCCTGAGGTTTTGTCCCTTTGTGTTTGATATCCTCCCCATCCCAGATGATAGAATCCTCCCAATGCAGCTGTGTCACCATCAGGAAGTTTTCGTCAGCCAGAAGATCAGTGCCATTGCTTTCCTCAAGTTTCCTAAATTCCTCCATCATTCTAGATTTTATCACAGGTTCATGTTGTGTCTTTCTCAGTTTGAAGCCATAGTCAAACCCACTGCCATCTTCGGAGACACCCAGCATATCATACCACAGTCGGGCAGGCCCATAACGCCACTCAGCCACTCTTGGTTTGGTATCTGTCACTTTATCTACATCTCCAGTTGATTGGGAAAATTTGGACTCCACAGGAACCATCATCGTGATTTCATCATCAGCGAGACACTGCTCTGGGGGTGGTGGTGGAGCATAGTCATAGTTCCACAAAGACTTCTGGCTGACTTCTGATTCTACTGAGCATTCCACCTCCTGGATCTGCTCTTCCTGTATCAGCTCACGATGCTTCTTCCTCTTTCTCCGAGCACTCCGCCAAACAGATGGGACATTCTTCCCTGGTCCAAAAAGATGTAGGAAGCGTAACACTTTTCCAGGTCGAAATTCTGGAAAAAGTTCGGTGACACTTGGCAACAGCTTGGTGGCATCATGCTGCATAATCCCAGCCAATGGAAGGGTCAGCTTTCCATCCTCAGATTCTGCCTGTGTTGCTTCCTGAGGTCCCATCTCAGATTCTGAATCAGAGTAACTACTGAAATCCACTTTCTCTGAGGCCAAAAAGGAAGGGGCAATGATGGAGGGCAAGATGATGTCTTCTCCACTTTCAGACACACAGGTAATAGCATCTTGGTCCTTATCCTTCTTCATTGGTCCCGGGGGTGGAGGTGGAGGAGGCATCAACTTGCAATCAATGTCTTCACAATCAGCATCATAGTCATCTTCATCATAATCCGAGTGGTAAAGGGGCTGCAAGCTCCCCATCGTCTGCTGGTGTCTTTGGCTTTCATCTTCTGCCACCTCATTGATGTCTGAATAGTCTACAGCATCTTCTGTACTCCTAATCCACCCTTCATCATTTACCAAGGCACCGCCAGTCCCAGTCAATTCTTCATTTGCCGTGAGTTCAGTGATTAGGCTGCCCAGCCCCAAAGCCCCCAAGCCTGCCAAGTGCTTCTTACACTCATCATCCAAGACGCTTTCCCCCTCCAGCTGCCCCGCTCCACTGATGTTGCCGAAAAGGATACCCGCTAAAGTAAATGGGCCACCTCCAGATGAATCTTCCTCGCTGTCCGAGTCTGACATGATGGCGGCAGTGACGGTAGCTGCTGCCCTCAGCAGCAAATCGCAGCCGGGTCGCATAAACCGGAAATAAAACAACAGTCGCCCGGAAGTGATCTACTTAGCTCCCTTACCCTACCAGCGTCTACCGGAAGCTGAATAAAGGCGGGGGGAGGGGGCAAAGGGGCGGGGGGAAAAACCCGCAAAACTTTTTTTTTTTTTTTTTTTTGAGACGGAGTCTCGCAACGTCGCCCAGGCTGGAGTGCAGTGGCGCGATCTTGGCTCACTGCAAGCTCTGCCTTCTGGGTTCACGCCATTCTCCTGCCTCAGCCTCCTGAGTAGCTGGGACTACAGGCGCTCGCCACCACGCCTGGCTAATTTTTTTTTTTTTGTATTTTCAGTAGAGACGGGGTTTCACCATGTTAGCCTCTCGATCTCCTGACCTCGTGAACCGCCTGCCTCGGCCTCCCAAAGTGCTGGGATTACAGGCGTAAGCCACCGCGCCCAGCCTGTTTGCTGGTTTTTGAGACAAAGTCTTGCTCTGTCGCCCCAGGCTGGCGTGCAGTGGCACAATCTCGGCTCACTGAAACCTCCACCTCAGGAGTTCAAGAGATTCCTGCCTCAGCCTCCACAGTAGCTGGGATTACAGGCATGAGCCACCATGCCTGGCTAATTTTTTGTATTTTTAGTGGAGACAAGATTTCACCATATTGGCCAGGCTAGTCTTAAACTCCTGACCTCAGATGGTCAGCCCGTCTCTGTCTCCGAAAGTGCTGGGATTACAGGCGTGAGCCACTGCACCCAGCCTCTGTAAATCTCTTTATACATGAACTGCATATGTATGCTTCTCCAAATAATCTATAGCATTGTCATGCTTTACAATTTTGTATAAAAGGCATCTTACTGTGTGTACTCGTTTTTTTTTTCCCCCTTCCTTTTTTTTAAGAGATGGGATCTCACTATGTTAGCCAAGCTGGTCTTAAACTCCTCCTGGCCTCAAGCAATCCTCCCACTTTGGCCTCCCAAAGTGCTGAGATTACAGGCAAGAGCCACCAAACCCGACCTTACTGTATGTACTCTTAGCCAGAATGTTTTCTGGATAAAATTTATGTTTATGATATTCAACTATGTTGATGCATTCAATTCTATTTTTATAGCTCTATAGTGTTCTACAGTATGGTTATGCTACAATTTATCTATGTTCCTATGTTTGTTCATTTAAATTGTTCCCAAATTGTTCCTCTTATAAATAATGTATATGATTCCTTGAGCATATGTAGGACACATTCTCCAGGGTATACATCTAGGAGTGGAATTACTAGATTTTACAATATATGCTTTTTCAACTACACTTGCTATTACTAAATTGTTCTCCAAAGTAGTTGTACCATTTTACATACCTAACAGCAGTGTATAAAAGTTCTCACCTCTCCACATCCATTCTAACACTTAGCATTGTCATTTGTTAATTTTTGTTCATTTCTAATAAATGTATAATGATAATGTGGTTTTAATTTGTATTTTTCTGATTGCTACTGAAGGCTAACTTTTCATACACTTATTGACCAACTGTTTTTCCTCTTCTGTCAATTGCCTTTTCATATATTTTTATCTAATTTTTATAGTATCTTTAGGTTATCTGTCTTTTCTTTAATGTATAACAGTTCTTCATATATTATGGATTTGCTTGCAAATAACTTCCCCAGTCTGTGACATGTCTTTTAATCTATTTTAATGGTGTCTTTAATATATATTTTAAAATTTCAATCTTATCAAATTTTTCCTTTATGCTTTTTTTTTTTTTTTGAGACAGTCTTGCTCTGTTGCCCAGGCTGGAGTGCAGTGGCGCGATCTTGGCTCACTGCAACCTCTGTCTCCAGGTTCAAGTGATTCTTCTGCCTCAGCCTCCCCAAGTAGCTGGGACTAGTCTAGTCAACTGTCTTAATGATTTTCACAATTTGATTGCAGATTATCTTGGGTGGTTGTTTATGTAATCCTCTATAAGTAATCATATTTAAAGTGTTATTATTTATCATTCTATTTTTAAATACTATCAATTGTGTATGCATGTTTTTATCTCTTCCTTTTAGATAACCAATAGTATTTACTTTTCCACCTTGCTTTTCTTGCTTAAAAATATATCTTGGAGATTACTCTGTAGTAGTTTATAAAGAGATTCCTTCTTATTTTTGATAACTGTAGAGTTATCACTTGGGTGAGTATACCAGCCACCCATTGACAGGTATTTGAGTTGTTTCCAGGCTTTGCTATTTCACACAGTGCTGCAGTGAAAAGTCTTATGTATGCATCCTTTTTTTTTTTTTTTTTTTTTTTTTGGTCAGCACATCTTTGGGATAGATTCCTGCAAGAGGGACTAGTGGGTCAAAGAGTAAATGCAGATATTATTTCATCGGTATTTGCCAAGTTCTATTCCTTAGTTGTTGAACCATTTTTCATTCCTAACAGCAATGAATGAGAGGGACAGTTTCCCCAAGCCTCAACAACATAGCATGCTGTCAAATTTTTGAATTTTTGCTGATCTCATAGGTATAAGACAGTATCTCGCTGTAGTTTTAATTTCATTTATCTTATCATGGATGACATGGAGTATCTTTTCAACCAAGGGGAATTTGCATTTATTTTTCCTGTGTATTTGTTCATATCTCTTATTCATTTTTCTAAGGTTGTTAGTCCTTTCTCCTCTTTTTAAATAAGATTTTAATATGTTAGGGATATTTACCCTTTCTGTAATATAAATTGAAAGTATTTTGCCAGTTCATCACTTATTTTTTCATATCACTGTATATTTTACCTTTCTTATTAAAATATTTGTTCTCTGGACAAAGAAGTCTATGTTGGTAGTTTTTTATTTCTTTCAATATCATGAAGTTATCTTTCCATTGACCTCTGGTTTTCACTTGTACTGGCTTTTCGCATCAGCTGTTGATCAGATTGGTGCTTTTTTGTTGGTAATCTGTCCTTTTCCTTTTGTTATATTTAAGATTTTCTCCTTGCATTTCATTTTCTACAGTTTCACTACATGTTTCTGGAGGCAGATTTATTTTCTTTTTTTTCTTTCTTTCTTTTCTTTTTTTGTTTTTAGACAGAGTCTCACTCTGTCACCCAGGCTGGAGTGCAGTGGTACAATCTTGGCTCACTGCAACCTTCACCCACGGGGTTCAAGCAGTTCTCCTGCCTCAGCCTCCCTAGTAGCTGGGACCACAGGCATGTGCCACCATGCCAGGCTGGTCTCGAATTCCTGACCTCAAGTACTCTGTCCACCTCGGCCTCCCAAAGTGCAGGGATTACAGGCATGAGCCACTGTGCCTGGCCTGGAGGCAAATTTCTCTTTTTATTCTTTTAGCTTCATTTGACCCTTTAGGCTTATTAAATAGTAAAATTGAATGTCTTTCATTAGTTCTCTGAAATTCTTTGACATTATCTCTTAAAATATTGCCCCTGCTCCATTTTATCTTTTTCTTTTTTATACTCCAGTTATGTGAATGTTAGACCTTACTTTATCCTCTATGTTTCTTAGTCAATATTCTGTACTTTCCCTTTTAAAAATTTTCTTTAGGTTTCATTCTGTATATTTTTCTCTGACCCAGCTTCCAGTTTACAATTTTTTTCTTCAATTTTATGTAATCCTCTGTTAAACCCATCCATTCAGCTCTTCATTTTACCTATTGTATTTTTCAATTTTATAATTTCTAGTTGGTTCTTTTTTAGTTTTACAAGGTCACCTCTTATGGTTTCTATGACTGCACTGATATTTTTAAACAAAGCATTTATATCCATGAGCATATTAGTACTGTTGTTTTACAACATCCGTCTGATAATTCTGGTATTTGGACTCTTGTAGCTCTTGTTTTTGTTGTCCACTGTTTTCCTTAGTTCTGGCTTGATTTGTCTTGAGTCTCATTTTGCATTATAGTCTTTCATAGCTTGGTAAAAAAATTAAAATTATATTTATTGATAGTTTGAGACCCAGGATGGTGTTATTTTCCTTCACAAAGGATTTTACTTTTTTTCACCTTTAAGACACCTGAGTATATTAGCAGTCTGGAACCAATATTTGAGGGTTTGGCAGGCTAGAGTAAAATCCATAAACCATGCTTCCAGGTTGCAGTCTTTGTCTCAAGCCAGAGCAAAAGATACTATATTAGGGCCTCTGTCTTTGAGGGAGATGAACACCAGTTCCTAAACTTGCATGCATCTGAGTAATCAAAAGCTTAGCTCTGTGTCTGCTGCTTCCAGTCCATTGCCAAAAAGCCTCAAAGCCAAAATGGCAGGCCTTGTGGTTCCAGGATACACAGTGGGTGATTTCCCAAGATCTCAGTGAAGCTCTGCCTCAGCTTCCTTTTAACTATCAGCAAATCCTCCTTTCCAAAGAGATGTTGTTTCACCTCTTTGAGCTCTAATTGTTGTCTTAATTCCTTACTATCTTGTTAGATTCTAATGTTTGTAAGAAAGTGTGTGTCTGTGTGTGTGTTTTGTTCCACTTTTAAAATTGTCTTCAAGTGGGAGATTTGATTGAAATCATCTGCTCTGCTAGCCCTGGAATCTGGAATATGGGCTAATATCTTAATGGGGGAGACCAAAAATAAATAAACAAGTAAATACATATTATGTCAGGTGGTGATAAGTGCTATTGCGAAAACTAAGGCAGAATAAGGGAGATAGGAATGCCATGGGTGAGGGAAAAAGTTGTCAGGGAAGATCCTTCTGAAATTATGACATTTGAGTGAATAGCTATGAAAAGTGAGAGAGGTAATTGTTCTATGTAACTTTGGGGGCAGTGTGTGTGCAAGAGGGTAGGTGGCAAGAGATAAAATGATGAGGTGAGGGGGTAGCTGAGGGCAAAATTATATAGGGCCTTGCAGGTCATTACTGTTTCAGAATTTTACTGTGAGTGAAAGAAGGAGCCATTAAAAGTTTTGAGCAAAAGAATGACTTGATCTTACCTGCATTTGAAATAGATAACTCTGGCCTCTATGTTGAAAACTGATTGTAATGAGGTAAAAGAAGAAGTGGGTCCAGCTGGGAAGTTATTAAAATAATTCTGGTGAGAGAGTGAGATACGACGGAAGCATGGACCAAGATAGTAGCAACAGAGGTGGTGAAAGTGTTCAGATTTTTAATACATAGTATTTTGAAGGTAAAGTCAACAGGATTTACTGATGAACTGGATATGTGGTGTCAGAGAAAGACAGGAGATAAGGTTTTAGCCTGGGCAACTAGACGGACAGAGAAACCATTTCCTGAGATGTAGAAGACTGTATAAAGAGAAGACAACAGCAGAGACATGGGGGATGTTAGTGGAGAGTCAGGAGTTTGATTTTGGACAGGTTAATTTTAAGATTCCCTATTAGATAGATTTCAACTGGAGATTTCAGTAGAGGCCGAGTACAAGTCTACAAGTTAGGAAAATAGGTCAGGGCTAGAATTATAAATTTGAGGCTCATTGGTATATAAATGCTTTCAAAGCTTAGGGACTGTGAATGGTGTTACCTAAGGAGTAAGTAAAGACAAAGAAATAAAAAGATTTTAGGGCTAAACTCTGCAGTGTTCTAATACTCAGCAATCAGTAGATAAGAAGGACCTGAACAGCCAGTGGCATAGAAGGAGAACGAAGAGAAAGTGATGCTTCAAGCCAAGTGAAGAAAGTGATTAAAAAATGAAGCGTGGTCTGGCCGGGGGCAGTGGCTCACGCCTGTAATCCCAGCACTTTGGGAGGCCAAGGCGGGCAGATCACGAGGTCAAGAGATCAAGACCATCCTGGCTACAGTGAAACCCTGTCTCTACTAAAAATACAAAAAAAAAATTAGCCGGGCGTGGTGGCAGGCACCTGTAGTCCCAGCTACTTGGGAGGCTGAGGCAGGAGAATGGTGTGAACCCAGGAGGCGGAGCTTTCAGTGAGCTGAGATCGTGCCACTGCACTCCAGCCTGGGCGACAGTGCGAGAGACTCCGTCTCAAAGAAAAGGGAAGGGAAGGGGAGGGGACAGGAGGGGAAGGGAGGGGACAGGATAGGAGGGGAGGGAACGGGAGGGGAGGGGAGGGGAGGGGAGGGGGTGTTGTCAACCAACAGTTGCTGAAAGTGCAAGTAAAGCCATGGATTGAGCAATAGTGAGGCCAAATTTTAGAAAAGTAAATCTAAGGAATAAACAGCATTTGAAAACATTGGCATTAAAATGACATTTGTTCTTTTGAGTAAAATTTAAGAAAAAGAATTATAATGGGACCCTCTGGGCAACAGCAAATAACAGCCTTCTTTGGTATCAACTTGATAGACAGAAGTATCTCCCCACCCCTGCCGTGAAAAATGCTCAACAGTTTGTCACTTTATTTGCAGTATTATTTCTTTAGTCTCAGAAATAGCTTTGTACCCTTTGACTTCTAGATTATTTTTTATTTTTCATTTTTTCATATTTCATCAAATACTTTCATATATGATGATATGGTGGCAGGTGGGTATTAGGTAACTTTTGAGCTCTTATACAAAACAAAAGAAACATTTGGAATCTTCAAAGAATACAAACAAGCTTGCATGTCTACAAATTCTGAAACATTTTCCCAAATAATAACACATTAATAAAACCTTAAGTACTTTAATTATTTCTAAATTTTATATATATATATCCAATTAGTTCTTTCAGTCTTTGTTTTAAACATAATTTATTTTCTCCACAGAAAACATTTATTTTTTAGTTATCATACAGAATGGGAAATTCAATTTTCTTTCATCAAAATGATTTCCTGATGTCGTTCAATTTAAAAATTTTAATATGACATTAAATATGTTTAAACTACTTAGGATAGTTAAAATTAGAAATTGTTTCATTTTCATTTTTTATTTTTTTAAATAAGAAAAAGCATTTTATGGTGTGAATATTTTTGAGTGCATTCATATGAACATAGAAAAAATATAAACATTAAACTGCCATTTCTTGTTTTGAGGAAGGAATGATAGTGGGAATGAGAGTCATGGGAAAGGAGAACATTGTTGGTTTTTCTTTTTTATAACTTTTATTTTAGGTTTTGGGGTACATGTGAAGGTTTGTTATATAGGTAAATGTGTCACAGGGGTTTGTTGTACAAATTATTTCATCACCCATGCATTAAGCTATTACCCAATAGTTATTTTTTCTGCTCTTCTCCCTCCTCCCACCCTTCACTCTCAGGTAGACTACAGTGTACAGCATCTGTTGTTCCCTTCTTTGTGTTCATAAATTCTCATCGTTTAGCTACCACTTGTAAGTGAGAACATGCAGTATTTGGTTTTCTGTTGCTGCATTAGTTTCCTAAGGATAATTGCCTCCGGCTCCATCCATGTTCCTGCAAAAAACATGATCTTGTTCTTTTCTATGGCAGCATAGTATTTCATGGTGTATATGTACCACATTTTCTTTATCCAATCTGTCATTGATGGGCATTTAGGTTGATTCCATGTCTTTGTTATTGTGCATATTCCTGCAATGAACATTCATGTGCGTGTGTCTTTATAGTAGAACGATTTATATTTCTTTGGGTACATACCCAGTAATGGGATAGCTGGGTCGAATGGTAGTTCTGCTGTTAGCTCTTTGAGGAATCACCACACTGCTTTCCACAATTTAAACTCCCACCAACAGTGTATAAGTGTTCCCTTTTCTCTGCAACCTTGCCGGCATGTTATTTTTTGACTTTTTATTATAGCCATTCTGACTGGTGTGAGATGCTATTTCATTGTGGTTTTAATGAGCATTTCTCTAATGAATGGTGATATTGATCTTTTTTCATATGCTTGCTGGCTGCATGTATGTCTTCTTTTGAAAAGTGTCTGTTCATGTCTTTTGCCCACTTTTTAATGGGGTTGTTTGTTTTTCTCTTGTAAATTTGTTTAAGTTTCTTATAGATGATGAATAGTAGACTTTTGTCACATGCATAGTTTGCAGATGCTTTCTCCCATTCTGTAGATTGTGTGTTTACTCTGTGGATAGTTTCTCTTACTGTGCAGAAGCTCTTAATTAGATCCCATTTGTCAATTTTTACTTCAGTTGTGTTTGCTTTTGGTGTCTTTGTCATGAAATCTTTGCCAGTTCCTGTGTCCAGGATGGTATTGCCTAGGTTGTCTTCTAGGGTTTTTACAGTTTTGGGTTTTACATTTAAGTCTTTAATCCATTTTCGGTTGATTTTCCATGAAGCAAAATAATACTTGCTTCATGGGATCATTACGATTTTATAGGGCCAAGCATTGAGTAGGTGCTGAATAAAAGAAAAGTATTCATCATCACCATCGTTATCATCATCATTGTTCAATGATCTCCAAAATAAAGTAGTTAAAAAAGTTAAGCTAGGGTAAGCACTATCATTACCAAAGGTTAGGATTTGGTTTTACAGGAAATATATTTATTTATATTAAGAGTTTAACAATAAAACCCACGAAGGGGAAAAGGAGGGAAGATTCATTGCATTCCCTGTACTGGATAACAGGTATTTTTACACACATCTTTTAGTTAAACCTGACAAACCTTTCTTTAGTTAAATCCCAGAAAGGAGGTAGTATATGCCCATTTTATAGATGGAAATTGAATCTCAGAAGGACTAAGTGATTTGGCCAAGATCACATAGCTGTTAACTGGTAGAAGTGAATCAGCTTCACTTCTTTTGACTCCAAATTTCATACTAAACTTCAAACTTACAGTCACTTTGGAGGCTATTGAAATTGGACCACCCACTCTCATCTAGTCTAGATCTAAATCCAAAGCTTGTGGGTGGCATAGGCTTTCACAGCCCTCAGGTTTTCTTGTTTGGTTGGTTGGTTGGTTTTTGGAGATGGAGTCTTGCTCTGTTGCCTAGGCTGGACTGGAGTGCAGTAGCTCAATATAGGTTCACTGCAACTTCCGCCTCCCGGGTTCAAGCAATTCTCCTGCCTCAGCCTCCCAAGTAGCTGGGACTACAGGCGCCCACCACCATGCCTGGCTAATTTTTTTTTTTTTTTTTTTTTTTTTTTTGTATTTAGTAGAGCCAGGGTTTCACCATGTTGCCCAGGCTGGTCTCAAACTCCTGAGCTCAGGGTATCCTCCTGCCTCGGTCTCCCAAAGTGCTGGGATTACAGGCATAAGCCACCATGCCTGGCTATAGCCCTCAGCTTTTATTCACTCTTTCATCCACATCCTAACCACACCAAAGGAACCCCATAATTTGGAGGGCTAGTGACCACTCCTGCTGCCTGCACAGAGCTTAGCTGTGCCAGCCCTTCTCTGCATGGAGTTGGAACATTCCTTTCCCTGGACAGTTCCCTTCCTTAGCTGGCAAATTAGATGGAGCTGGGCCTGGGCCGACTGTACCTCCTGTGTTCCCATGGATGCAGTCACGCTCATTTCCAGTCAACCTTGGGTTGAAGAAGTTGCCTGACTCAGCAAGTCTGGCATTTCCTCCTACACAGTTCTTTCCAGCTTGTTGGCAATGGTATCCAGGAGTGGCTGGAGAATTCTGATAACAGCTTACTGGTTGGATTCCAGGGGAGTAGCTCTGGTTCTGCTGAAGACTCACTGGAAGGTGGAGAATTACTGCCAAAGGAAGTTAATGATGACCACTCCAGAAACTTTGACTACCTCTGTGGATGCCTTCACAACTGTTTAAAGCATCACCCTGGGGCTGAGACACCAGAAAATGAAACAAACTCCATAAATAGAAATTAACAATCAGTCTGTGACCCACTTAAGTAGATGTTACATCTCCTGCCAAAGGCCTGCCAGACAGTGTACCCTGAGTTAATGGCTTGGTGCCTTCGTTTTCATCACTCTCATGTGGAAATTAAACAATTGTCTCCTAATTCCCTTGTAGGACCGTGCCCTCTTCTTTTCTGACCTCCATTCATGGTAGCTTTTTTTTTTTTTTTAACTACGGAACTACTTCATAAAACACAGCCAGCCAGGCACGGTGGCTCACGCCTGTAATCCTAGCACTTTAGGAGGCTGAGGTGGGCGAATCACGAGGTCAGGAGATCGAGACCATCCTGGCTAACACGGTGAAACCTTGTCTGTACTAAAAATACAAAAAATTAGTCAGGCGTGGTGGTGGGCACCTGTAGTCCCAGCTGCTCGGGAGGCTGAGGCAGGAGAATGGCGTGAACCAGGGAGGCAGAGCTTGCAGTGAGCCGAGATCGCACCACTACACTGCAGCCTGGACTACAGAGCGAGACTCCATCTCAAAATAAATAAATAAATAAAAATAAAACATAAAACACAGCCAGTACAGAACTGCAAAAGGTGTCCGACTCAAGCAATTGTGGGTATTGGCACGTGAAAGTTATACTTACCATGCAATATCAAAGTTGTGAAACTCGAGTGAAGACATTATGTTTTTCTGTATTCTGTAAGCAATATTTGGCACACTCAGGGATTCACAAATCCTCTTTCAAGACCTTCCAAGATTGAGATTTAATTAACTTTTTATAGTTACATCTCCTTTATTATTTAACCTATGGTCTTGTCTAATAGAAATGTAGTATGAGGCACATGTCATTTTAAAGTTTCTAGTAGCTACCTTAAAAACATTATGTAAATTAATTTTAATAATACACATTAACCCAATCTATCCAAAATATTAAACATGTAATCAATATAAAAAATTATTAATGAGATGTTACATTCTTTCATACTAAGTCTTCAAAATCTGGCTATAAGAGGTACACTTACAGCACCTCTTAATTGGAACTAGCTGTTTCAAGTGATCAATAGTCTCATTTAATCAGTGGTTACCTTATTAGACAGTACAGCTCTATTCAAATATGTTGAAATTAAAAATAAATAGGCAAGTAGTATTATTAAATGAATAACTTCTCCAGAGGAAAGTAAACAGAGCGATTTAAGATATTGTTTCTGTTGCATACATTTTGCTTCCTAATAAGACATGTAGAGATTCAATAGTAGCTGCTGGTGCATGAAATAGATAACTTAGAGGTGAAGAGCCTGGCTTTGAGCCAGACAGACCAACCACTAAAATTTTGGCCCTGCTCAGGCCAGGCACAGTGGCTCATGCCTGTAATCCCAGCACTTTGGGAGGCTGAGGCTGATGAATCACAAGGTCAGGAGTTCGAGATCAGCCTGGCCAGCATGGTGAAACCCCGTCTCTACTAAAAATACTGAACTGTATTTTAAAAGGATTCAATACAATTAGCTGGGCAAGGTGGCGGCCACCTGCAATCCCAGCTACTTGGGAGGCTAAGGCAGGAGAATAGCTTGAATCCGGGAGGCGGAGGTTGCAGTGAGTCGAGATCACGCCGTTGTACTCCAACCTGGGTGACAAGAGTGAGACTTCGTCTCAAAGAAAAAAAAAAATTGGCCCTGCTCATTATTAGCTTGTGATCTTGACAAATTACTTTTCTAAGTCTCAGTTGCTTCTTCTTCTATAAACAATTCACCCCACTTGAGTCTGATATTGAGGGAAGTAGAAACTGAATGAGGAAGATGCCCAAATTGTGGAATGTCTTTAAGGCATAGAGCTTTATAAACTAAGTGTGCTGCCAAGAGAAGGATTATTTAAATGAACTGGTGAGAATGACAAGTGGAATGGGAAAAGAATGGAAGGGTACATAAAGGATGCATTACTTCCGAGATCCTTTCTCATTCTGATGTTTTATAATTTCATATTTTATATCAACTTAAAATGGATAATTTTGAAGTGCTTTGCAAATGTTTATTGTTTTAAAGTAACTATTCAACCTTAAATTTTGTCTGTGTTACAAATTTAGGAGGTGTAAATTTTAAGTGCCTATGCCTGATGAGGAGCAGTTGCAAGTTTCTGGGATTCAAATAAAAGAAGATCCTTACTTATTTGCAGGTAGTTCACAGAGTGACCCAGAACACTGGCTTTGGATTCTGAAATATCCAAGTTCTTGTTCAGCTCTCCCAGTTTTGGAATTGTCACTTTGGGTAAAGTCTCATAAACTCTACATATCATCTGCATGATGGAGATAATAATAGTACCTATCACGCAAGATTGGTGAAATAATTTACTTAGATGATGTGCAAAGCTCCTGTAAAATTTTCCATACATTTTAGTGGTTATATCTTGTTACTTTACAGTTCTGATCATTCTAATGCAGCCATTCCCATTTAGTAAAATCTTCGGAATGGCTTCTTCATGATGGTGGGAAATTTCCCTTTTACCAACAGCCAAATAAATGGCTACATGAAATAATATTTCTTCCGTCTTCACAGGGCTCCCTCCTAAAACAGCCACTTAGGAACAAGAGCCACTGAAAAGTGATGGATGTGCTCCCTTGACAACCCATAGCAGGAACCAGCTTGTGTAGCAGTGACACTGCAAACTAAGGAAGCAGAAGCCAGATACATGCATCCCTTGCCAGGGGGCTCCCAGTGGAGTCTTGTAGACTATGTTACAGTGTGCCGTGGCTCCAATTCAATTCTAAGCTCTAGTTGTGTGACTAAAAGCCTAAAGGAGAAAAAGGAAAACAAGCCTCAAAGTCCTGCCTGCTTCTGTCTTCTGGCAAGAAACTATGGCTATACATCCAGGAGGGCTGGAAGGGCTGAGTGGCATTATCATTTTGTAACTCTCTTACTCACCAAAAACACAGGAGAGGTTTTCAAATGAATGTATATTCATGAGGAATATTTTTTAAAGACAGTAGAAAGAATTTTTTTAAAAAGCAGCATCATCACAAGGCCTATTGGTTATCTCTGTTCAGCAACACACATTTAGGGGTCATGTCAGAAAATGGTATATGCTCAAAGGATCTGCCTTCCTTTAGGTCACACCTTTACATCATCCACTTATTCTGGAAACAATATTGTTCGTTCCCATGGGCTGCTTAAGATTTCTACGATATCACACTGACCAGAATACTTTGATAAGTTCCATTGCTCAGGATCCTGGATTTTTGACTGGTCAAGCCCCATCCAAGGAACTGCAGCACAAAATAGATGACTTAGAGGTCAAGAGCCTGGCTTTGAGCCAAAGAGACCAATCATTAGAATTTTGGCCCTGCTCGTTACTACCTTGTGATTTTGACAAATTACTTTTCTTTCTAAGCCTCAGTTTCTTCTTCTATAAACAAAGGCCAGAAAGATACCTACTTCATAGGATTGTTACTAGGATCAAATGAGAATGCCTATAAAGTGCTTAGCATAGTGCCTGGCACATCGTAAGATTTCAATAAACGTTAAATGCTTTCCCATGCAAAACTGGTGGAAATGTCTTTTTTGTTTCCAGGGCCTCTGTTCCTCTAGAGAATTGTCAAGTGATAAGAATCTATCCAGTACCAACAAGCTACACAACCAGAGCAAGACTGAAACAAGTCCATTTACCTGGCTCCACACAAAGCTCCTGTAGAATAAAAATACCTGTGACTAAAGAAGCATGGAATGTTAGTATGGGAAGGGCCTTTAGAGACCATTTAGTCCAATCTTTTATTTTCCAAAAAATAAGGATAAACAAAACTTCTGAGAGATAAAGAAACTTGATCCGTGTGAAGAGCTAGTTAGGGGTAGGGCCATGGTTCAAATCCAGATTTTTTGACCCTTAATCCTGTGACCTGATGAGCTCAATTGCTTTGGTGGTTAGAACAGGTGAAATGGCAGGGCATGAATGACCAAGGGGAAAGCCTCCTAAATGTCTAAGTCATCTCATTAAGCACTAATTTGTGATTCCATGATTGTATTACAATATGCTCTCTCAATAGCAAATAGAGAGCAAGTGATTACAAGATGCCACCTTAAAAGAAATCCTCCACTTCATAGGCCCTGCAAACCATCATCATCATGGTGAGTTTGCCTAAACACATTTGATATTGAACCATAATGTGTGAAACAATTCATCAAATGCTTGCAACCATTTATGCCAAAGAATTGGGGGGAAATCATAGAAATCTATACTGTGAACTGTAAGCCAATGGCATTTATGGCAAGTGAAATGTCATGCTAGACAGTCTCTACAATGACACCCAATAATCCCTACTTCCTGGTATTCATATCATTGAGTAATCTCCTCCCCTAGAGTTTGGGCTGGATGTATGCACTTGCTTCTAACAAATAGAATACAGCAGAAGTGATAGGATGTCAATTGTGAGATCAGGTTATAAAAAGACTGTGGCTTCCACATTTGGCACTCTTTTTCACTCTCCTTTAGTTTGCCTATTTGGGGGAAACCATCTGCCATGTCATAAAGTAGCCCCATGGATAAGCGCATGTGAGTAAGGTTGGAAGCAGACCTTCTGAGGCCTGCCTATAACCATGTGAGTGAGATCAGAAGCAGTTTTTTCAGCCCCAGTCAAGTCTTGAGATGACTGATAGTTTGACTGCAACCTTGTGAGATACCTTAGGCCAAATGGTACCCAGCTAAGCTGCTCCCAGATGCATTACCCATAGAAATTATGATATAATAAATTTTAGGGTAACTTGCAATAGATAACACAAAATGCAGATAGGATTGGGATATAGCAACCCTGAGCACAGGGCTTGATGTCGTGGTCCCCCAAAAAGCAAATATTTTTGTTCTTATTATGGACAGTCCAGAAAAACAGTATTCATTTTCTGTGAGACTTCTCCAAGGTTCTACAAAAATCAAATAAATATACTTGTGGATGATCTCAGTGCTATTATCTGGATTGTGAAAGTGGGAAAGTTCAGTTTATTGCTATCCTTGGTGCCTGGCAAATCTTGGCTCTCTATAAATATTCTTGAATGAATGAATGAATGAATGATATCTCCCAATGGCATAACTGGTTCTGCACCAGTCTTATGGGAATACTATTTTTAAAATATCTTCCATTATGTCCTCTGTAATTTCTTAGTAATTCAGGTGTTATTTTTCTTTCCCTTGTATCCCATCTGCTTTAAAGGTAAGCCAAGAGTCATTTTGCTCTAGTGAAGGAAGGGATGGGTGCTATCTTGAAAAGAAATCTTCTTTTTTAGTTCCATAGCAAGACAGAGTTGAAAGCCAGATACTGATGAGAGAGAACATTTTTAAAATAAATTCCCAAATCTCCTTTTTTATGTATAAGTCGTGCATATCTGTATGAAAATGCAGTTTTCCACGGCCAGACTGCTGTTCTAAGTGGGTCCCTGATCCCATTTCTCCTCACTGGGCAGGACGTCCAGGCTGGAGCCTCCAGCTACCCCCACTGGTGTTTTCTGGCTGATGGAGGTTTCATACCTCCCTGGGATGGAGCACCCAGCAGGAGGGTGGACCACCATCTTTGCTGTTTGGGACTTAGCTGTCTCACCCTTTGGGCTTTGGAGAATCCAGGGCATCTGGGGACTGAAGCAGATCCCCAGAACAGCACAGCTGCTCTATGAAAACATAGCCAGACCTGCTGGTTCCCAATACCATTCCTTCTCACTGGATGGGACCTCCCAATGGGGTCTCCAGCAACCTCCTACAGGTGTCTTCCAGCCAGCAACAGGTCTGAACCTCTCTGGGAGGGAGCTCCCAAGGGGAGAGGAAGGCTGCCATCTTTGCTGTTTCACAGCCTTCACTGTTGATACCCCTAGGTACCAGAAAAGCCAAGGTGACTAGGGATTGGTATGGACTGCTGGCATACTGCAGCACCCCTACGGAAAAGTGGCCTGTTCCTGTACCTCCTCACCAGGCAGGTCCTCTAGGCATGGGCCTCCAGCCACCCCCTGCTGGGGCTATTGAGCCAGTAGCAGCTCTGCAACTCCCTGGGCAGAGCCCACAGGGGTAACTGAAAGCTCTCTGCCACCACCTCTGCAGTGGACGTGCCCTGCTACTCTTGGACTAGCAAAGGGGCAAAGACCCTAAGTGCCTCACCCATACCTCCAACAAGCTGCAATTGACCCAAGGAGAGGAGGCAGGTATATTTTCCCTGAATCCCACTCTGCTTGTCACCAGACAGGGAACTCCTGGCTTGAGCCCACAGCACAGACCCTCCATCATGGGCTGATTGCACTGAGCAATTGCTAACCTGTATCTCCCTGGGGTAGAGCCCCCAGGAAACAAGAAAAAGACCCTTGGCCACAACCACTACTAAGGTCCCTTCCTCTACTGCCTCCAACTTGGGGGAGGAATGTAAACTCTGAGATAACCCCAGAGCTGCAGTGGGCAGCCTAGGAGTGCCAAGCCATGATTTACATCCACACTCAAGGGAGATAGGAGCCCACTTTCAGAGCATTCAGAGGGAACACAGCTGCAACTGTGAGGAAAGACAGGGAAGCCACAAAACTGAGCAAGTCTATCAACTGACCAATATGTCTAAACACCACCAAATGGATCACATCCAAAGCTTCAACACCAAAAATAACCCACTAACACTGTAAAACCAAAGACAAGAAGTCAGCTTCAAATAAAGACCATGCACAAAACCTTGGCCTTGTTAAAAAAAATCTAGAAAAGAAGTCAATTGACTGTACTTAATCTACACTGCAGTTAAAGGAACAAGAATTCCAGTACCAACACAAGAATTCCAGTAACTCAAATGGACAGTGTCATGTGTCCTCCAAATGACTGCACCAGTTCTCCAATAAGAGTTCTTAACCAGGCTGACCTGGCTGAAAAGACAAAAATAGAATTAAGAATATGGATAGGAAAGATCATTGAGATTTAGAAGAATGGAAAAACCGAATACAGGGTAACTAAGAATCACAATAAAACAATGCAGGAGCTGAAGGACAAAATAGCCAGTATAAAAAGGAACCTAACAGCTCTAACAGAGCTGGAAAACACAAACAAGAATTTCACAATGCAATTACAAGTATTAACAGCAGAATTGACCAAGCTGAGGAAAGAATTCTTAAAGAAAAAAATATTCAACCAAGAATTTCATATCCAGTGAAACTAAGCTTTCTAAGAAGAGGAGAAATAAGATCCTTTTCAGATAAACAAATGTTGAGGGAGTTCATTACTACCAGACCTGCCTTACAAGAGGTCTTGAAAGGAGCACCAAATATAGAAAGGAAAGATTGCTACCAAATAATACAAAAGCACTCTTAAATACACAGACCAGTGACACTATAAAGTAACCATACAAACAAGCCAGCATAAAAATCAGCTAACAACACAATGACAGGATCAAATCCACACATATTAATACTAACCTTTAATGTAAATGGGCTAAATGCCCCACTTAAAAGGCGCAGAGTGGCAAGCTCGATAAAAAAGCAAAACCCAATGGTATACTGTCTTCAAGAGACCCATCTCGCATGTAAAGACACACATAGACTCAAAATAAAGGGATGGAGGAAAATCTACCAAGCAAATGGAAAACAGATAAAAGCAGGGTTGCAATCCTAATTTCAGACAAAACAGAATTTAACCCAACAAAGATCATAAAAGACTAAGAAGGGCATTATATAATGATAAAGGGTTCAATTCAACGAGAAGACCTAATTATTCTAAATATATATGCACACAACATAGGAGCACCCAGATTTATAAAGCAAATTCTTAGAGACCTACAAAGAGACTTAGACTCCCACACAATAATAGTGGGAGACTTCAACACTCCACTGACAGTATTAGACAGATCATCAATGCAGAAAATTAACAAAGATATTCAGGACCTAAACTAAACATTGGACCAAATGGATCTGATAGATCTCTATGGAACTCTCCACCCCAAACCAACAGAATATACATTCTTCTCATCGTCACAATACTCTAAAATTGACCACATAATTGGACATAAAACAATCCTCAGCAAATGCAAAAGAACCAAAATCATACCAAACATACTCTTGGACCACAGCACAATAAAAATAGAAGCCAAGATTAAGAAAATCACTTAAAGCCATGCAATTACATGTAAATTAAACAACATGCTCCTAAATGACTTTTGGGTAAATGAAATTAAGGTGGAAATCAATAAGCTCTTTGAAACTAATGAGAACAAAGATACAACATACCAAAATCTCTGGGACACAGCTAAAGCAGTGTTAACAGGGAAATTCATAGCAATAAATGTCCACATCAAAAAGTTAGAAAAATCTCAAATTAACAACTAAATATCCCAACTGAAAGAATTAAAGCAGCAAGGACAAATCAACCCCAAAGCTAGAAGAAGACAAGAAATAACCAAAATCAGAGCTGAACTAAAGGAAATTGAAACACGAGAAACCGTCCAAAAGATCAATGAATCCAAGAATTGCTTTTTTGAAAAAATAAGGTCAGCCACTAGTTAGATTAATAAAGAAGAAAAGAAAGAAGATCTAAAGAAACATAATGAGAAATGATGAAAGGGTTGTTACCGCTGAACCCACAGAAATAAAAATAATCATCAGAATCTATTATGAATACCTCTATGCATACAAACTAGAAAACCTACAGGAGATGAATAAATTCCTGGATATGTACATCCTCCCAAGACTGAACCAGGAAGAAATTGATTCCCTCAACAGTTATGAGAAAAATTGTGGGTTCCAAAAGGGAATCAGAAATAAATAGCCTACCAATCAAAAAAAGCCAAGGATCAGATAGATTCACAGCCAAATTCTACCAGATGTACAAAGCACAGCTGCTATCGTTCCTACAAAAACGATTCCAAAAAATTGAGGAGGGGGCTCCTCCCAACACATTCTATGAGGCTAGTATCATCCCAATACCAAAACCTGGCACAACAAATAAAAATAAAATTTTAGACCAATATTTTTGATGAACACTGATGTAACAATCCTCAAAAAAATCCTAGAAAACCGAACCCAGAAACACATCAAAAAGCTAACCCACCATGACTGAGTAGGCTTTATCCCCAGGATGCAAGGTTGGTTCAACATACGCACATCAATAAATGGGACTCATCACATAAACAGAACTGAAGACAAAACCACATGATTACCTCCATAGATGCAGAAAAGACTTTTGATAAAATTCAATATCCCTCCATGTTAAAAACTCTCAATAAACTAGGTATTGAAGGAACATACTTCAAAGTAATAACAGCTGTCTATGACAAACCCACAGCCAACATTACACTGAGTGGGCAAAAGCTGGAATATTCCCCTTGAAAATTGGCACAAGACAAGGATGCCCTCTCTCGCCACTTCTATTCAACACAGTATTGGACGTCCTAGCCAGAGCAATAAGACAAAAGAAAGAAATAAAGTCATCTGAATAGGAAGAGAGGAAGCCAAACTATCCCTGTTTGCAGAGAACATGATTCTATATCTAGAAATCCTCATGGTCTTCGGCCAAAAGCTCCTTCAGCTGATAAACAACTTCAGCAAAATTTCAGGATACAAAATCAATGTACAAAAATTATTAGCATTCCCATACACCAACAGGAGCCAAGCCGAGAGCCAAACCAGGAAGGCAACCCCATTCACAATTGCCGCAAAAAGAATAAAATACCTAGGAATACAGTTAACCAGAAAGGTGAAAGATCTCTATAATAAAAGTGACAAAACATTGCTCAAAGAAATCAGAGAAAACACAAACAAATGGAAAAAACATTCCATGCTCATGGATAGGAAGAATCAACATCATTAAGTACTGCCCAAAGCAATTTACAGATTCAATGCTATTCCTATCAAATTATCAATGGCATTCTTCATAGAACTAGAAAAATCTATTTTAAAATTCACGTAGAACTAAAAAAGAGCTTGAATAGCCAAGGCAGTCCTAAGCAAAAAGAACAAAGCTGGAGGCATTGCGTTACCTGACTTCAAACTATGCTACAGGGCTATAGTAACCAAAACAGCATGGTAGTTGTATAAAAACAGGCACATAGACCAATGAAACAGCATAGATAGCCCAGAAACAAGGCTGCACATTGTCACAAATATGACCATTTGATATTCAACAAAGGTGACAAAAACAAGCAATGAGGAAAAGACTCATTCAATAAATGGTGCTAGAATAAGTGGCTAGCCATGTTCAGATGATTGAAACTGGACCCTTTCCTTATACCATATACAAAAATCAACTCAAGATAGATTAAAGACTTAAATGTAAAACCAAAAACTGTAAAAACCCTAGAAGACAACCTAGGCAATACTATCCTGGACATAGGAATGGGCAAAGATTTCATGACAAAGACACCAAAAGTAATTGCAAAAAAAGCAAAAATACATAAATGGAATCTAATTAAACTTAAGAGCTTCTGCATAGCAAGAGAAACTATTCACAGAGTAAACAGACAATCTACAGAATGGGAGAAAATATCTGCAAACTATGCATGTGACAAAGGTCTACTATCCATCATCTATAAGAAACTTAAACAAATTTACAAGAGAAAAACAACCCCATTAAAAAATGGGAAAAGTATATGAACAGACACTTTCAAAAGAAGATGTACATGCAGCCAACAAGCATATGAAAAAAAGTTCAATATCACCGTTCATTAGAGAAATGCAAATCAAAACTACAATGAAATACCATCACACACCAGTCAGAATGGCTATTAATGGAAAGTAAAAAAATAACATGCTGGCAAGGTTGCAGAGAAAAGGGAACACTTATACACTGTTGATGGGAGTTTAAATTAGTTCAGCCATTGTGGAAAGCAGTATGGCAATTCCTCAAAGAGCTAAAAGCAGAACTACCATTTGACCCAGCAATTCTATTAGTGGGTATATACCCAGAGGAATATAAATTATTCTACTGTAAAGACACATGCACACGAATGTTTACTGCAGCAATATTCACAATAACAAAGACATGGAATCAACCTAAATGCCCATCAATGATAGACAAGATAAAGAAAATGTGGTACAGATACACCATGGAATAGTATGCAGCCATAAAAAAGAACGAGATCATGTCTTTTGCAGGAACATGGATGGAGCTGGAGGCTATTAGCCTTAGCAAACACAAGAACAGAAAACCAAATACTGCATGTTCTTGTAAGTGTGAGCTAAATGATGGGAACACATGGACACACAGGGGCAATAACACACACTGGAGCCTACCTGAGGGTGAGAGGGTGGGAGGAGGGAGAGGCGCAGAAAAAATAACTATTGGGTACTGGGCTTAATACCTGGGTGATGAAATAAGCTGTACAACAAATCCATATGATGTAAGTTTACCTATATAACAAGCCTTCATATGTACCCAGAAACCTAAAGGTTAAAAAAAAAGGAAGGTCCAGAAAATTTAGGTCAAACTTTTTTTTAAAAAAGTAATCTAAAGAAAAAAGTTTTATAACTGTTTTAATCCTAGAAGATGCTGAATATTAAGGCTTTGAATAATGTAATGTTTTTATCTTCATTGGTTAAGAGATGTATCTATACAATGTAGTCCTGTCTTAATAATCAAAATTTAAAAATAATAACTTCCCTTTTTTTTTTTTTTTGAGATGGAGTCTTGCTCTGTGGCCCAGACTGGAGTACGTTGGTGTGATCTCGGCTCACTGCAACCTCCGCCTTCAAGGTTCAAGTGATTCTCCTGCCTCAGCCTTCTGAGTAGCTGGAATTACAGGTGCATGCCAGTACGCCCAGCTAATTTTTCTATTTTTAGTAGAGACGGTGTTTCACCATGTCGGCCAGGCTGGTCTTGAACTCCTGACCTCAGGTGATCCACTGGCCTTGGCTTCCCAAAGTGCTGGGATTACAAGCATGAGCTGCTGCACCTAGCCAAAAACAATAACCTTCATTTGTAAAAAGAAAGAAGGAAGGAAGGAAGGAAGGAAGGAAGGGAGGGAGTGAGGGAGGGAGGGAGGGAAAGAGAGAGAGAGAAGGAAGGAAGGAAGGAAGGAAGGAAGGAAGGAAGGAGGGAAGGAAGGAAGGAAGGAAGGAGGGAAGGAAGGAAAGAAGGAAGGAAAGAAACAAAGAAAATACAGTTTTGCTCTAAGCCATGGGTAGAGTGGACTCAGAAGGTGACCCAAGAAATGTTCTTATAAGACAGGAATAGAAAATTAAAAAGTCTTTTGCCAAAAGAAAAGAAGGGTGGCAAGAAAGCAAACGCTAGGACCCTGAATTCCCCTTCCCACTTTGGCTTCTGGGTGGCGTCTTAAGGGCTGTGCCAAATGAAAACTCCAGAAAGTTTGAGGGAAGGAAAAACCAGAGGCATTCGTGTTCCAATTTTCATTTGAGATTTGGAAGGGGATTGCCTCAGAGTACACCATGTCAAGATGGGGTTTCACAGCAGGGTAGAGGTAGACAAGAGAAGTTATACAAAATAAAGAAGATACACTGGTTGCATGACTCAGTATTAATTTTGATAAATTTTAACCCCAATTAGCAAATAGGTTAGCTCAGTCTTGCCTGGTTTCAGCATGCCAGAGGCCAAGGTTTGCAGTCTTTATGAAGCAGCAGCACAGCCTGTGAGAAGAATGGTGGGAATGATTGCTAGAGATGAGGCTGATTACCACTGTTTTGCCCCTAACTGACAAGATTCTGCCAAAAATTGACGGGTCCACAACAGTGTCTGTTGGCAGCTTCTGCCTTTGTTCTTAATGTTTTCAGAATAACCATTGCCTTTCCTTTTTGGGGGCAGTGTGTCATAATCATAGGCAGATAGCCCAACATTCTCACCTTGGCCCTGCCGGTTGTTGGCTGTGTGATTTTGGATAACTTTCTTATCTCTCTGAGCTTCAGTTTTTATTAATAATAATAACACAAAATAATAAGAAGTGTAGTACCTCAGGGCTTATTAAGTGAAAAGCACTTTACAAAGCATATAATATGCATTACCTCATTTAGTTCTCACATTCACCATATGAGGTAGGTACTACTATAATCCACATTTCACAGATGGGAAAACATGCCCCAAATCACACAGGTAATAAGTAGCAGAAGTAAGAACTGAAACCAGGTTCGGCTGACTGCAAAGACCATGGAGCTTGATTGCTATACAGGGGGATCCATGAGATGGCTGTGATACCAAGCAGCCTCCAGGGTCCCCCATATGCAATTCCCTGCTAGTCTGTATCAATAGTTGGTCCAGAATAATAACAGCATTGACCCCTGTGGGATCAAGGTAACTCTCTTTTGTGTGTGTGAATACAACTTTTAAACAAGTCTCACATTTGTTCTAACAAAAATATTTGGATCTGTGTCTATGACTTATCACTTTCCATTAGGTTCCATACTGGGGCCGGGGATCATGCCACACTGCAAACTCCCCCTAGCTCTGGGAACAGATGCTTGCTGGTGACTGCCTGCGGCAGCATACCTAAAAACCAGTGACAGTCTGGGCAGGTTCCCAGCTGCTGAAATTAGCCTGCAGGATCCTTGTAGGCAAAGGCATATTTTAGGACAGCAGTACTGAACAACATCACAGAATGACAAGAACACAGCCCCTTCCACGTTTCTTCAAATGTCCAAATAGCTCGTGCTCATGTTTGACCCTATTTAATAGTTGTTTGTATGGAATGCAAAAATCTGTTTATCTGTATATCAATAAATATCCATGCACATACAGTTCAGAAACTGAATGATAATGACTTTTTAAAAATAAATTTTAATTATAATAAAGCAAATTCTTTTTTTCAGAGGACTGCAACACATTTTAGTTAGCAAATTCATTTGTTGTGGATAATTTCATTAGCTGCTAAGTTCTTCCAGGGGAATCATTTAGCATATTTGGTAATAATAATGACTGGATAATAATGCTTCTTAATGAACTGCCATGAGCAATAAGTATGACTCAATAGCTCAGTATGGTGGAAAGAAATTACTGGTCTAGATCAGGAATATCGAAGGCAGAAGAAAACTTAGAATTTATTTATCCTATGCTACCACCTGTCTTCAGGCATAATTTACAAATCAGGAAGCAGGCTCAGAAATCCATGTCATTTTCAAGGTCACTCAGTGAGTTAAAGGCACAACCAGGGGTTCTGACTTCCAGAGCAGCTCAGTCACATCACTTCACAGTCATGTTCTGCTGTACAACTGTGGCAATAACTGTGAATAGATAACCCCCTCCATCTTTGGGATGGAAATTAGAGGTTATCACAGTTTATATTTACAGGAATAATTCAAAAATATCTGTTGAATAGAAAGTAGAGATGTGTTAGGAATCCAAATTCAGGAGGAACTTACTGAAACCTCAGCATTCCAGACACTAAGCCTCTCATTTCATTTGCATAACAATCCATGAGGTTGATACATTAAGAACTGCCCCATTTCACAGATAAGGAAATGGGGCTTACAGAGGGCATGTGATAACCCAGTCACGCTGTATTAGTCCATTTTCGCACTGCTGATAAAGACATACCCAAGATGGGGAATTTACAAAAGAAAGACGTTTAATGGACTTAACAGTTCCACATGGCTGGAGAAGCCTCACAATAATGGTGGAAGGCAAGAAGGAACCAGTCACAACTTACATGGATGACAGCAGGCAAAGAGCTTGTGCCAGGAAACTCTGCCTTATAAAGCCATTAGATCTCATGAGACTTATTCACTGTCATGAGAACAGCACTGGAAAGACCTGCCTTCATGATTCAGTTACCTCCCACCAGGTCCCTCCCACAACATGTGGGAATTCAAGATGAGATTTGGGTGGAGACACAGCCAAACCATATCATTCTGGCCCTGGCCCCTCCCAAATCTCATGTCCTCACATTTCAAAACCAATCATGCCTTCCCAAGATCACCCCAAAGTCTTAACTCATTTCAGCATTAACTCAAAAGTCCATAGTCCAAAATTTCATCCAAGACAGGGCAAGTCCCTTCCACCTATGGGCCTGTGAAATCAAAAGCAGGTTGGTTACTTCCTAGATACAGTGGGGGTACAGGCATTGGGTAAATACAGCTGTCCCAAATGGCAGAAATTGGCCAAAACAAAGGGGCTGCAGGCTCCATGCAAGTATGAAATCCAGCAGCACAGTCAAATCTTAAAGCTCCAAAATGATCTCCTTTGACTCCATGTCTCATATCCAAGTCATGCTAATGCAAGAGGTGGGTTCCCACAGTCTTGGGCCACTCTGCTCCTGTGGCTTTTCAGGGTACAGCCTCCCTCCTGGCTGCTGTCATGGGCTGGTGTTGTGTCTGTGGCTTTTCCAGGTACACAGTGCAAGCTGTCAATGGATCTACCATTCTGGGGTCTGGAGGACAGCTCCACTAGGTGGTGCCCCAGTAGGGACTTTGTGTGGGGACTCTGACCCAACATTTCCCTTCCACACTGCCCTAGCAGAGGTTCTCCATGAGCACCCCACCCCTGCAGCAAACTTCTGCCTGGTCATCCAGGTGTTTCCATACATCTGAAATCTAGGTGGAGGTTCCCAAACCCTAATTCTTGACTTCTGTGCACTCACAGACTCAACATCATGTGGAAGTTGCCAAGCTCTGAAGCCACAGCCCAAGCTCTTCATTGACCCCTTTCAGCCATGGCTGGAGTGGCTGGGATGCAGTGCACCAAGTCTGTAGGCTGCACACAGCACAGGGACCCTGGGCCTGACCCATTAAACCATTTTTTCCTCCTAGGTCCTCCGGGCCTGTGATGAGAGCGGCTGCCGTGAAGACCTCTGACATGCCCTGGAGACATTTTCCCCATTGTCTTGGGGATTAACATTCAGCTCCTCGTTACTTATGCAAATTTCTGTAGCCAGCTTGAATTTCTCAGAAAATAAGATTTTCTTTCCTATTGCATTGTCAGGCTGCAAATTTTCTTAACTTCTATGCTCTGCTTCCCTTATAAAACTGAATGCCTTTAACAGCACCGAAGTCACCTCTTGAATGCTTTGCTGCTTAGAAATTTCTTCCACCCTAAATCATTTCTCTCAAGTTCAAAGTCCCACAAATCTCTAGGGCAGGGGCAAAATGCTGCAAGTCTCTTTGCTAAAACATAACAAGAGTCACTTCTGCTCCAGTTCCCAACAAGTTCCTCATCTCCATCTGAGACTGCCTCAGCCTGGATTTCATTATCCATATCATTAACAGCATTTTGGTCAAAGCCATTCAACAAGTCTCTAGGAGTTCCAAACTTTTCCACATTTTTCTGTCTTCTTCTGAGCCCTCCAAACTGTTCTAATCTCTGCCTGTTACCCAGTTCCAAAGTTGCTTCCACATTTTTGGGTATCTTTTCAGCAGTGCCCCCACTCTTGTGGTACGAATTTACTGTGTTAGTCTGTTTTCACACTGCTAATAAAGATGTACCCGAGACAGGGCAATTTACTAAAGGAAGAGGTTTAATGAACTTACAGTTCCACATGGCTGGGGAAGCCTCACCATCATGGTGGAAGACAAGGAAGAGCAAATCACGTCTTACATGGATGGCAGCAGGCAAAGAGAGAACCTGTGCAGGGAAACTCCACCTTATAAAGCCATCAGATCACGTGAGACTTATTCACAGGAACAGCACTGAAATACCCACCTTTATGATTCAATTACCTTCCACTGGGTCCCTCCCACAACATATGGGAATTCAACATGAGATTTGGTTGGGGACACAGCCAAACCATATCATACACAGTAAATAATGGAGCTAGGATTTTATGTTGGACTTTGTGACTCCAATATGGGCCCATTCTACTTTTCCACAGCAACAACTTACTAAAGCTTCCATAAGAATCCCCAATGGGGAGAACTAAGAATCTCCTTGGCTCTGTATACATCCAGATACTCTTTTAGGTAAAGATGCAGCATTCAGCTTAGTTGGAGGGAAGTAGAAACCATGGTCCTTACCCTTGAGTAATTATCTTCCTTCTGACTGGTGAACTGAAATTATTCAAAAAGGTCTTGCATAAAGCATGACTTCTGGCATAAAACACATGCTTAAGTAGAATAACAATAAATTACAAATTCAAGCATCTTCCCTACCATTCTGTCTTGGAAAGTTTATTGCTACACAGACAAATCCTCCAATGAGTGCAAGAAAAATATAAACATCAGCTACTGAATTTTATCCATACTGATATTTGGTCATGTGCCAAATGGGTTTGCACTTTAGCATGCAATATTAAAACTTCAGAATCCACCATCCTTGACCTGCACTGGATTCCCCCAAATGCTTGAAGACTCCACTATTCATTGCCACATCAGCTGTGAATTTCTAGCTTGTTGCTAATCTCCTCTCTTTCTCACAAATCAGCTTCTTTTTTAATTTATTTATTGCATCACCTTGCTATGTATACTGGAAACTTTTACATATTTAAAGTTGTAATTTAAGAAACTACAGAGAAGCCAGAAATAGAAGTTTGGGTTTTAAAATTTTTTCTTACAAGAAAGGGTTAGAAGCACACCAACCTAGACAGAAAAAAAGACAGACTCTCCTGCACAGGTCTGGGGAGTTGCTGATATACTGCCCTTGTAAGTTGGCACCCTGGCACCCATGGCATGTAGAGGTAAAGGGTATAGAGTAGATACAATATTGCCCAATTATCCCTCCTTCAAAGACTCTCTTGCCAGAACCAACACCTTACCCACCTGCTTTCTCTTCTTAACTTTCCATTTCCTCAGCCTCTCACTGCATGACGGCTTTGACTTCACCCCCATCCATTGGTACCATGAAAGACCCTCTAGATGCTATACATATTGGCACTTTTCAGTTCTTATCATACTTGACCTTTATGCCACACAGTTTATTGGTCCCACCTTCCCAAAACTCTCCTCTTTAGGGTAAGGCTAATAACTATTGTTGTCATTATAAGTTTGCATTCATAGAGTGCTTATCATTTATAAGGCAGTGTGTTAAGCACTTTGTGTGCATTCTTTCTTTGAACACTTATAAACCCATGATGTAGACATTATTATTATTCCTATATCACAGATGAAGAAATTGAGGCACAACAGGTTAAGTAACTTGTCCAAAATGATACAGCTAGTAAATGGCAGAGCCAGATTTTGAACTCAGATTTTCCTGCCTCCAGAACTCCTATTTGTAAGCATTACACTACATTGCCTCATAATGTTTTCAAGACAGTGACTGTCTTAGTCAGCTGGGCTGCTATAACAAATTACCATAGAGTGAGTGGTTTAGACAAAAGACAGTTATTTATCATAGTTTTGGAAACTGGGAAGTCCAAGATCAAGGTGTAAACACACCCTGAATGTACAGATTTAAGGAGTGTAGCTGGCTGGAGAATAAGGGGTACTCACATAAACACCTTCCAATCAGTGTGTAATTGATGGAGTATAAATAAAAGTGCTTAAAAACCAAAATGGCTCTATTTGTAAATAAAATTTCTATATGCTTTGTTCAAAACTCATAGATTAATTCAAAATCAAAACCAAAATCCAATGTGCAAAAACAAAAAAAGGGACACTTAGGCAAATTTTTGCAAGTTTCTGATGGTTTCGGTCTCCTCTAGGAAAAAAAATTATTTTGGCTATGCCTGGTGCTTGTCTGTATCCTTTAAATCTTCAGGAAAATTCGGTATGGGGTAAGAGCTATGATTCATGTTAGTCTGTGTTTGACTTTCGTGTTAGTATAAAGATTGAAAAAGTGAACTATATTCCTGGAAAGGCTAAAAACAATAATAATATCACTTAGTATGAACCAGGTGCTGTGTTAAGCATGGCAAATCTGATGGAGGTTTAAGGGCCTTGTGGAGAGGTAGGGAGGGGCTCTTGCTGATAGCCAGCCAACCCCCAGAGGCAGAACCACTTAATTAACCTGCAGCTGACCCAGACACAGGAAAGAACCCAGCTGAAATCAAAAGACCTGCCCAACTAACGCCAGCCTAAATTACTGACCCATAGAATCATGAGCTCAATGAAATATTGATACATTAAGCCATGACGTTTTGAGGTTTTGTAGCAGTAATGAACTACTACAATCTTCAACTAAATCACCTTTTTAAAAAAGCTGTGAAATGAGTATGATATGCTAGTAATATATATTTTCTAACATACAACAAAATAAAAATACATTATAACTATTAAATTCTCTTAAAATGTTAAAGAAAAAAGAGAAGATATTATTCCAGGCAAGGCAGATGGTCAAGAGTACATTTGAAAAATAGAGGAAATTTAACTGGGTTTGGAAAATCATGTAGGATGTGACTGTGTAGAGGTCAGTGAGGATAGAAGTATTGGATTAGGGAGAAAAGGATATTCTACAAATATAAAGTGTATTTGGAAGATAGTGGGTAAATCAGCTCGGTTAAGACATAAGTGTTTTGGTTTTATTTCTTTGTGAAGATCTAAACCTGGAAAAAGCTTTTAAGAAAAACTTAAATGTAGGCTAATGCCTTCAGCTGGATACCTAAATAAATAAATAATCCCTGTCACCATCTGTTTTTTCAAAATGAGACCAATGCATGTCTAACCTCACTTATAACTAGAAGGGACTGATTTCTGAGGGATCATAACTCTCCTTCAAAGTCCTTTTTTTGAGGCTGGGCAACATACGGAGACCCCATCTCCACAAAAAATAAAAACATTAGCCAGGTGTAGTGGCACATGCCTGTGGTCCCAGCTACTCGAAAGGCTGAGATGGGAGAATTGCTTGAACCCAGGAGGTCTAGGCTGCAGTGATCACGCCACTGCACTCCAGCCTGGGCAACACAGAGAGAGACCCTGTTAAAAAAAAAAAAAAAAAGAAGAAGAAGAAGAAAGAAGAAAAAAGAAGAAGAGAAAAAACATTCTTTTGTGATCATAATGAACAGAGAATAACTTTCCATTCCTACATTAAATGATTTAGACACAGCATAATGCAGATTTTACAGCTGGTAATAAGGTAAACAGAAAATACAGATGACCAGAAGCTAGGAGACAAGCTGATGCTCTTATTCAGCAACTAATGAGCTGTGTTACTTTGGGGGTGTGATATGTCTCTGAATCTCAGCCTCCTCATCCATCAAATACGTGGGGTTAAACCAGATGATCTCTAAGACTTCTTCCAGCTCTAAAATTCTGTCACTCTCTGTCAGCTATTCAGCAAGACAAGCAGCCATCAAGAGATCATCAGATTCAGTGCTGATTCAGCCCTGGGCAGAGGTGCTTCTGAGTACTTCAGGGAGGAGCTTGTTGTGGAGTTCCAGCTTACCAAGCCTGAGTTTTGCTTGATGCATAATGACTCAGGCGCTTCCCTCAGAGGGTGTGTGTGTGTGTTGGGGTAAGGGTCAATAGTGAAAAAAAGTTAAAATCCTCACACTATATTATATCCAGTCTGAAAGTTTAATGTATCTCTAGGAGGCACATAGGATATTACCGGAAATTGATTCACACTTTGCCTGCAAATACCATGGTCAGCTCGCACAGCTATGAAGAAATACCTGAGACTGGGTAATTTACACAGAAAAGACATTTAGTTAGCTCATGGTTCTGCAAGCTGCACAGGAAGCATGGCAGCATCTGCTTCTGGGGAGGCCTCAGGGAGCTTTTACTAATGGTGGAAGGCAAAGTGGAAGCAGGCATCTTACATGGCAGGAACAGAACCAGAGTTGGTGGGGAGGTGCTACACACTTTCAAACAACCAGGTCTTGTGAGAACTCACTCACTCTACAGTACCAAGGGGTGATGGTGCTAAACCATTCATGAGAACCCTGTTCCCAGGATCCAGTCACTTCCCACCAGGCCCCACCTCCAACACTGGGGATTACAATTCGATATTAGATTTGGTAGGGACACAGATCCAAACCATATCAATCAGAAAAATTTTAAAACTAGAGCATCCTTAAAGGGAGCTCCTACTGAGCCTGTCTTGGCATAAGTGCAGCATTCAAAACAGAGACCAGTGTCATGGACTGAGTGATGAAGGAGAAAGGAAGAGGAGACAGGAAAACTGTATTACAATGATCCATTTATTCAACATCTGTCATTCAATCTAGCACTTTCTGTAGGCCAGGCACTTGGCTAGGTGCTGGAAATACAGCAAAGATCAAAACCAACAAAAAATTCCTGCCCTTATGGATCTTACAATTTCTTCCTGATATTTCTTCTGTGGTAGCCAGGACGTGTACTATTATGCACACATCTGTTTCTGGGGTGTTTGTTGTTTGCTTGTTGGCCTTCTTTTGTTTTCTTTGTGTGGACTGTAAAGAGTTGGTGGGGTTGGGGGTAACTTTCTGGTGCAGATGCTTGGAGGACTGAGGACACCTGAAGGATACTTACTTGGATTGGTCAAAGCTTGACTTAACTCGTTCATTCAATCATCAATTATTTATAGAGAACCAACTATATAAAAGGTTCTGCAGTTTAAAAAAAAGTAAATAAGCCAGATTCTCTGTCCCAAAGATAGTCGCAACTTAGTTTTCCCTACTGAGGAAAAAAGACATTAAAAATACATAATTACAATTCAATATAATCTATGCTACAACCGAGTACACACAAAGAGTGAACTCAAACAAAGGAAAGAGTTAACTCTGCTGGAAAAAACTCTAGGGACATCTTCCCAGAGGAGGTTTGGTAACCTGGGTTGTGAAGAATGAGTAGAAGTTTTGTTGCAGGCTGCAGGGAAAGCATGTGCAGAATAAAAACAGGGAAAGCAGCTGCACGGTTTGGAGAGAGGTGGTTGTTCTGTGTGGCTGCAGCAGTCCTTAATACACATCTTGCTGCTTATTAAGATTACCAGGAGAACCTTCAAAATGACAGACACCGTGACCCTACCACCAGCTCGATTAAACTAGAATCTTTTGGGGGTGAAGCCCAGTCCTGCATAAAATTTTAAGACTCTCTGGGCCGGATGTGGTGGCTCACGCCCATAATCCCAGCATTTTGGGAGGCCGAGGCAGGAGGATCACGAGGTCAAGAGATTGAGACCATCCTGGCCAGCATGGTGAAACCCCATCTCTACTAAAAATACAAAAAATTAGCTGGGCGTGGTAGTACATGCCTGTAGTCCCAGCTACTCAGGAGGCAGAGAAAGGAGAATTGCTTGAACCTGGGAGACGGAGGTTGCAGTGAGCCAAGATCATTCCACTGCACTCCAGCCTGGCGACAGAGCGAGACTCCATCTAAAAAAAAAAAAAAAAAAAAGACTCACTGGGTGGTTCTAAGGTGCAGCCACAGTCAAGAATAATTAGGCTAGAACAGTATAGAACAGTACTTCTCAAATTTTAATATAAGAATCACCTGAGGATCTTTTGAACTAAAAATAGATCTACCATTCAATCCAGCAAGCCCACTACTGGGTATCTACCCAAAGAGAAAGAAGTTATTATATGAAAAAGACACACACATGTATGTTTATAGCAGCACAATTCACAATTGCAAAGATATGGAAAAAACTAAGTGTCCATCGACCAATGAATGGATTAAGAAAATGTGGTATATATACACCATGGAATACTGTTTGGCCATAAAAAGGAACAAAATAATGTTTTATTTGTAGCAACTTGGATGGAGTTAGAGGCCATTATTCTAAGTGAAGTAACTCAGAAATGGAAAACCAAAAACCATGTGTTCTCACTTATAAGTGGGAGCTAAGCTATGAGTTTGCAAATGCATACAGAGTGATATAATGGACTTTGGAGACTCAGAAGGGGGAGGGAGGTGAGGGATAAAAAACTGCATATTGGGTACAATGTACAATACTCGGATAATAAGTGCACTAGAATCTCAGAATTCACTGCTATATAATTCATCCATGCAACCCCAAACCCCAAAAGCCATTGAAATTTTATATATACATATATATATACACATGTATAAATTCTAATCCAATAGGCCTGGGGTGGGCCTGAGAACCTGCGTTTCTAACAAGCTCCCAGGTGATGCTGATGCTGCTGGCCCACAGCACATTCTAGCAAGTGGATAGAACAGTGGTTCTCAAAGTATGGTGCCAGTACCATCAGCATCACCTGGGAACCCAGAAGAAATACAGATTTTCAGGGCCCATTCCAGATCTACTGAAATAGAAACTCGGGTTGGAGATCCGGCAATCTGTCTTTTCAAGTCTTCTGCATGGTTCTCCTGCACCTTAGAAAGTCGTGATAGTGCTGAAAAACCACTGGGGTGAAAAACCACTTTGGGCTAGAGCATCAAAAGGTTGGGTAATGGTATTGAAAGATACTAGAAATGTACATGGGGTATAAAGAATGTGGCATACAAAGAGTTAGAACAGGGGTATCCAATCTTTCGGTTTCCCTTGGCTATACTGGAAGAAGAAGAATTATCTTGGGCCACACATAAAACACACTAACACTAATGATAGCTGATGAGCCAAAAAAAAAAATTGCAGAAAAATCTCATAATGTTTTAAGAAAGTTTACAAATTTGTGTTGGGCCACATTCAAAGCCATCCTGGGCTGCATGCTGCCCACGGCCCACGGGTTGGACAAGCTTGAAGTTAGAATTTTATCCTATAGGCAACAGGAAATTCCTAGATAGTCTTAAGAAGAAGAGTAATTGAATTCGAAGTTATTTTAAGATCTTTCTGGCAGAAGTGTCCCTTTGAGGCACCTCCCAACTATGGTACGAAGTGTCCTAGTTGCTTTGGTTTCACTGACGGGCCTTTCCACCCATCTTCCCAAGGCCTCTGCCCCCCTACAGAAAGCTTCGGGTCCTATGACAGCTCTGGGTCCTGCCCAATGTTTGCTGGGCTGATTTCCCTGGTTTCTGACCTGGTGCCTGTCCATTGATTCTTCCTCTTTCCTGGGTCCCTTTTGGGGGTGGCTGCCTTTGGGCTGTCAGTGCCCTTTGACTTGACTTCTCCTGGGGCCATTGCCTCTTGGGTCTTCCTAACTTGGCTTTAAGTGCTGCATTCCACCATCGCCCTCATTCCCGTGCCACATCCGACTCCCACTCCAAGCAGAGCGTAGTGCCATGGGCCTTGGCTTGTCTGGGAGGAGGTGCTAGACAAACAGTTGAGAGAGACTGCATATCTGGCTGGCAGTGACTTGCTAGGTGACCAAGGCCAAGCAACTTACCTCTCTGGGCTTCAGTTGTCTCATTCATATAACCCAGTCTCCGGGATTGGATTTAAACATCATTCAAGAGACCCAATATAAAGCTCTACAATTCCATAGAAAACATTTGCTTTGTAGGATTACTTTATTGAAAAATATGTCCAATTACAAGTCTTTTTTCTTGGATATGGAAGAAGCTTACTTTTTCAAAATATAGAATCTGTTTTTACAAGCTCAACATCAAGGTGTAGAAGGATAATAAATTAGAAATAGTAACCAATGTTTTGCCCCCAGATATCTCCCCTATGCCCTTTGCTTCTGTTCAAGTAAGTAGACAATTCTGAGTTTATGGCCTTGGGAAGAGTTATGACACATTTGAAAGCAGAAAAAAACGGTGTCTATCTCATGCCAGTCAGAATGGCAATTATTAAAAAGTCAGGAAACAATAGATGCTGGTGAGGTTGCAGACAAATAGGAACACTTTTACACTGTTGGTGGGATTATAAATTAGTTCAACCATTGTGGAAGACAGTGTGGTGATTCCTCAGGTTTCTAGAACCAGAAATACCATTTGACCCAGCAATCCCATTACTGGGTATATACCCAAAGGAATAGAAATAATTCTACTGTAAAGACACATGCACATGTATGTTTATTGCAGCACTATTTACAATAGCAAAGACATGGAACCAACCCAAATGCCCATCAATGATAGACTGGATAAAGAAAATGTACATACACACCATGGAATACTATGCAGACATAAAAGAGAATGAGTTCATGTCCTTTGCAGGGACATGGATGAAGCTGGAAGCCATCATCCTCAGCAAACTAACACAGGAACAGAAAACCAAACACTGCATGTTCTCACTCATAAGTGGGATTTAAACAATGAGAACACATGGATGCAAGTTAAGCAATGAGAACACATGGATGCACACACCAGGGCTTGTTGGGGGTGGCGGACAAGGAGAGGGAGAGCATTAGGACAAATACCTAATGCATGTGGGGCTTAAAACCTAGATGATGGGTCGATAGGTGCAGGAACCACCATGGCACATGTATAACTATATAGCAAACCTGCACACATTCTGTATCCCAGAACTTAAAGTAACATTTTTAAAAAGAGGGGTGTCACCCCTGCTTTGGCTTCTAGAATTCTAAGCCTTTAGGACAGAGGCTGCAAAGTGGTAGCGCTTAGGGCAAAACTGAGTCACAGATGTGTTTTGTTGGCCCTGCGGTGATACTTTTCCAAAATGAATTGATTTTCAACATTTGAAATCAGAAAGGTTTGCACCAACCGAAACTTTCCACCTTCTTCTTGAAAAAATAAATGGTGGACCTGAACAAGAAGAGCCCTGTACCCCCTTTCCTGGGCCAAAGGGGCCTGGGAAGACAGCAAGACTGTGAAGCTTTAGCTTATGCAGAGCCCCATGCAGCTCCAGAGACTCATCGTAAAGATAGTGGGAGATCTGCTGAGCTCAGGACCAGCAGATGGACAGCTCAGGGGTGACATGTGTGGTCCATGGCTAAGGATGTCTTCCGACAGGCCTGATGTTTGTGGGAAGTGTGCTGAGGCCAGGACCAGCAGATGGAAAGCTCAGTGTGACACGTATGGTCCACAGCTAAGGACCCAATGGCATGAAGGTTGGATCTCAGCAGATGCCTTGGTGGACCAAAGGCATAGAAGATGGGATGTTTCCTATTACATCTGGTGCCCCAGCTCAGAACTGAGACACAATCCCCTGGGATGGAGAGAGTAATAGAAAATCCCTAACATCAAGATTAAGTCTCTGCCATATAAATAGAATGGGGGCTCAAAACAGAAATCAGTGTGAATTTTAGAAAAGAAAAAGAAACATATTTTCTGCATGCCTCAGTTTGGAACTTAAATATGTACCCGTTATAAAAGAAAGTAGGATTTTCCTTATGTACTTGTTTTCTATGTGCACACATCCTTTTAAAAATGACATCAGGTATGGGTGAGAAGGGTAGCAGGAGAAATGAGAATTGTGGTTGAATCTTTTCCTCCAGAATGAGACAACTGATTCATTCTAAAGAGCTTAGAGATGGATTTGATCTTTACACCAGTGGATCTTGACATGTTTGGGTCATGTACTCCTTTAAGGAGCTGATAAAAGAAACCTTCTGTTATGAAAAACATACATGGACACAAAATTTATACAATTCTATACAAATTCCAAGGGCTTCAGAACTCAAGCCTCTTTGGAAGCCCATCCACAGACCCCAGGATAAGAAATTTGCCTCTGCCTGCTACTCTTCCTGTCCCCATTTTCTTCCAGGGATTACAGTGAAAGGAGAGAAAATCCTCAGCCTATTTGGAATACAAAGAAAACTGCCACCCACAGTCTGTCACCCTGGCACCCTCACCATCTGCAGCCTTTCAAAGCTCTTGCCTGTTCCCACCTCCTTCCAGAGCTGTGTTGCTGAGGCCTCTTCCACAGGCCAGATGTTTGCTGAGCTCTGCCCAGAGCACCCTCTTTGGGACTGCCTCATACTGATGCACATTAAAAATAAAAGGGATGGGGCTCTGCATGCTCAGTGCGCTTCTGGCAGGGGACACTTAAATTTGCTACTTGTCAGGAAATTCACTCTGAACACAAAAGTGTCCTGGGCAAGAGATTCTCAACCAGAAAGGGTGCAGAAGTATGAGGCTGCAGGTGAGGCAGAAAGCACCCCCTAGCCAGCTGGAAGCCACTACACTGTTCAGCAGACTTGACTGAAGCAGGTGTCCAACCCCAACCAGCCACCTCCACCTCCACCAAGTTGATGGGGCCTCCTTTGTGGGGAGAACTGCTTTCGCCTGATGGCATATGAAAGAAACAACAGAGGCTGGCAAACAAGGCTGGTCATGAAGGGCTCACTCACCCATCACATAGGCATTGGGCACTACTGTGCATCCGGCATTGGGCCAGGCACTCCAGAGTCCCGACACCTCCCTGCCTTTCAGGAGCACGTGTTGTACTGCAAGAGCATGGGACCAGGTAATGCCAATGTGTGTACTCAGTGTGGTCAAGGGCTCCTCCTGACCGCCACTGGCCTACTATGAGGGCTTCAGCAAGTCACTTCACCCTCTGGAGCCTCATTTTACCCACTTGTAACATGAAGGTATTGGACCTGATGATCCAGAAGGTTCTCTTCCAGGTCATGAAACTTCTCCAATTCCATAGGGACTACATACAAAGCTTTTGCAGGAAATTGTATTGCTATCATTGAGCCACTAGATGACAACTGCACTTTGTTTAGGAGAAATGCTACCTTGGAAGAGTCACTGATGAGAACAGCCACAAACACAAAAATGGGTTTTTTATGCCAGTGAGGAATTATGTAGTTAAATGGACAAAATCGAACTGCAAAACAGCGGATAGTATCTGTCACCCGTATGACAAAATATGCTTAATTATCAAAACAACATATCTAACTGTTTCTGTGCTGATTCAGAAGACACTTGGGGATCTTGGAGAATCTCATAGTTGTGGTTTGGGAGCAGAAAGTGGAGTTCTCGGCACTGACGTCAGGAGACCTTCTGGTCCCAGCTCTTGCTCTAAGAGTTTGTTTGACTTTGGTGAATCATGCATCCTTCCTCTACCTTTGTTTCTGCATCTTTAAAACAAGGAGGGGCTCAACCAGACTCCGTGAATTGGCCCTAGTTCTAGCATTCTACAGTTCTCTGGATCAGATTGCCAAGTGTAATAAAGATTTCCAGCACTAGATATGGATGAGAAATCCCTATCATTTTTGGTCTCTAGAACAAGAGAAAGAAGGCCTACTGTCACATGCATGTTTAGAACGCAACATGTGACCACCATGATTTGGGACAGCTTGAGGGAGTCTCTGACCTTTGCCAAAGAAGTCTTTGCCAAATTAAAAATCCCATAAAACTTGAAGTCTGCCTCTGTGCAAAGGAGTGTGGCAACAGATCCCACCTGTCAGGAAGACAAAATTGTCTCGCCCCATGACCAGAACCAGTCCCTTAGGCAAACAGCTTGAGTTCTTGCAGAAAATCTTCCAGCTTCTTCCTGGGGCCAGCACCAGTTCTTTCTCTCCTTTGTTACTCCATATTGGCTTCATTTCCCCCCACTTCCCTTTCTCTGTGTGCATTGAACTTCACTCTGGTCAGGGAAGGAACCCATGGCTCTCAGGAACAGAAAATATCCCTTTTAGAGCTCATAGTCACAAATGAGCTAGCACCTCAATCTAAAGAAGTTTCTCAAAGTGTGGTCTGTCCACTCCGTGTATCAGAATCAGTGATGCTAAAAGTGCAGAGTCCAGGTTCTACCTGAATGTACTGACACAGTATTTCTATGGGAAGCCTGGAATATGCATTGTCACAAGCATTCTGGATGGGAATGAAGCCTGAGCCCCACTGCCTCACAACAGGGCCCCTTGTCCAGGTCTAGGATATTTGAATTACAGGCAATTTAGTGGAATTTTAGTATTGAAACCAGAATAAGAGGTAACAACATATGATTTGAGAAGCCATACATGACATTTGTTGAGATAGACAAAAAAAAAATCTAAGGCCAGGCATAGTGGCTCACGCCTGTAATCCTGGCACTTTGGGAGGCTAAGGCAGGCAGATCACCTGAGGTCAGGAGTTCAAGACCAGCCTGGCCAACATGGTGAAACCTGGTCTCTACTAAAAATACAAAACTTAGCTGGGCATGGTGGCGGGCACCTGTAATCCCAGCTACTCAGGAGGCAGAGGCAGGAGAATTGCTTGAACCTGGGAGGTGGAGGTTGCAGCGAGTCAAGATCGTGCTGCCACTGCACTCCAGCCTGGGCAACAGAGTGAGACTCCATCTCAAAAAGAGAGAGACAGAGAGAGAGAGAAAATATCTAAGACAGAGATTGGCAGTAGCTCATATGGGGCTTCTCTAATGGCAGTGCTACTGTAAAATCCAGGCCTGCTGATCTTCTTTAAAGGTGAAGAAATTTACATTTCCCTTCCCAACTTCATCAGAATCAGGGGGCAGCAACTCACCCTAATTAGTCATCTCACAATAAACTGGTAAATAAACTACAATGTTATTCTGTTAGTTACAAGGACAGACAAAATTGCTAAGCAAACAGGAGTATTCATGTCAGCATGCCAAGGAATTGCCCCTGCCCCACCCCCCACACCTTTCCCCTTTTTTTTTTTTTTTTTTTTTTAGAAAAGTCTACATAGGCAAATTACCACTAACAGATGGTTTGATGAGCATGGGCATGGGAATTAGATGATGTTAAAGTCATGAGATGTGGCAACCAGCAACACTCTCCATCAAAGGAAAGAAGGTGAGAACAGACCTGCAATTTACCTAAGCACTTCCTATTGACAAGGCATCATCCCTACTCTTAATCTTGTAGGAATATGCTTGACAAAGGAACAAGAATCTTCTTGCTAGCTGGTTTGAGCTAGCCAGTGATAGCAAACCCAGTGATAAATGTTTTGCTTTTTTTTTTTTTTTTTGAGACAGAGTCTCGTTCTGTCACTCAGGCTGGAGTGCAGTGGCCCGATCTCGGCTCACTGCAATATCTGCCTCCCGGGTTCAAGCGATTCTCCTGCCTCAGTCCCCCAAGTAGCTGGGACAACAGGTGCCCAACACCACGCCCAGCTAATTTTTGTATTTTTAGTAGATACAAGGTTTCACCACGTTGGCCTGGCTGGTCTCGAACTCCTGATCTCAGGTAATCTGCCCACTCCGGCCTCCCATAGTGCTGGGATTACAGGGGTGAGCCACCGCGCCTGGCTGGTTTCTTCTTCTGCTATTTTCTCCCTACACCATGGTAGTCCACCTTTATTCTGTCCATTGTAACACAAGTGAACAGAATTCTCGAGATGCAGCCTAGTCCTATTAACTAATAAAATTTCTTAATTCTTAATTCTCTTCATCTCCACAAATGGGATTCTTAATTCTCCACAAATGGGACTGTAATCCATTACCTATAATTCCATTTGCATTTTCACCTAACCTCCACACTTGCTAAACACTTATTTTAGCAAAATGAGGCACAACAAATAAAATATTTGCTTTTCTACCAAATTATGTTTAAATAATGCACACATTTAATTCTTAACATCTCTTCCAAAAGTACAGCTGAAGCAGCCTTAGATGGAATGGAAGTGACTAGTACTTCATTTATGTGCAATGCACCTCCAACCCATATGTATCTAACTAGGTTTCAGGCTCAGCTTCCAATCTAGGTCATGAAGGTATGCACAGCCTCCCTAACTTTCCCCATCATCCCATGGGTCCACTTTGTTACCATTAGTCACCTGTCATGCGGGTTCTATTGATGTGATCTGTCCTCCTCAGCTTTATAGGTTACATTTTTTCCTATAATCGACTTAAATTTAGGGGAAAGGAAAAGTCAGAGGAAGCAGGTATATTGAAAGCTTGCTTATCTTTACAGCAGCTGCTGAAACAGCTGAAATAGAAAACACTAGCTTCTTTCTCAAGAGCTTTTATTTAAAATAATAATAATAATATCACTGTACATATAAAATAGTGAAAGCATTAGAAATATGATACTCTTAAGACCTGATCTACATTTTCCTAGTTCAATGAAAAGAGAATGGGATTATCATATGGAAGAGAGCCAAAGGCACAGATAATACAAAATAACAAATTTAAGTTACCAAACATAGACACTTTCACTTGTAATACATTTTGGGGTTTTTTGGTTGTTGTAGTTGCTTTTTTATGAAAAGAGTTAACAATTTTATTTTCACATTTCACAATACAAATAAAAACTACTTTTTTTTGGTCCCACTTCTCCCCTCCAAAACTATTCTCTCTTTGATAAGAAAAGAGAGAAAGTCTTCCTTATCGCGCTGTTAAGAAAACACCCAGAGTCACAGCACCATGGTCTCCTAGTGAAGTAGAACAAGTAATATAAACCTGATACACAAGGCCTCTGCACTATCCTTAACCATCTGGTCAAGTCATTCTAGGCCAAGCAGGCACCATCATGGGACAGGCGGGAGGCCTTATCATTGACATGTGACCTCCCATGAGTGGCTTCATTCCAGGAGCAAGTCCCACTGGCATCATCCCACGGAAAGGAGGGCCCATCATTGGCATCATGGGAGGGCTCGCATATGGGGTGCTGGCATTATACTTGGGCAAAGAGGACCTGGAAGGCTGGGGGGAGGGGGTATCATTGCCCCTGCAGAGGAGGAGCAGAGAATAGAGTAGGAGGTATCTTTCCTGGATGAAATGCAGCCATTGTTTAGTCAATCAGGGTCTGACTGTTCTTCTCTCCATTTTTGGTAGTAGTCTTTCACATTCTCTTTGTGTTTCCTACCACTGAAGTGGGCCTTTCTCACAGATGGCAAGTCATGGGAGAGCTACATATTGTAGTAGACACAATAAGACTTGGGCATGTTGCTCTGAAGGAGGTTGGCCACTCCATTCCACAACGCCTGGAGATGACCTTGTAATACATTTTTCAAACTTACAGTATAACATGGAAATAGTGGTAAAATGTTTTGGAAAAAAAAACCACAACATTTTATTCCAGGAATTCTCTGACCATACTATCCTGTCTTTCTAGAACTTTTCATCCCTACTCTGATTATACCTGTTCTTTGATCTTCATAAGATCTTCAGCAAATTGTATACTTCATTTTACCCTAGTCTTCTGTTTTGTATCATCCTTTCCTGTTTCATTTTCTTCCCTTTCCTGCCCAGGTCCCATTCTTATCACTTCAACTACTTTCTACCGAGAAAACCCAGCTTCCTTATCTCTTTTACCCCCTTCTATTAAACCTGTCTTATAAATCTCCAACCCTGGATTAACCCAAACATATCCATCTTCTTCCATGCTACCCACTGGTAGCCAAGTGTCAGAGAAATACACACAGCTAGGTGGACTGGTGCTACTACTATACATTTAGGATTTCCAGTCTCATCTGGGTCCTCAGTGCTTCTAGCCATCTGTATCTGTGTCTCTGGTCAGTTACCCTTTTCCCCTCTTCTCCATGATAGGTCCAAACTTTTGCCATTCTTCTCATGCTCCCTAGCCTATCCTAAGTACCCCTACTTTCTTTAACTGATAAAACTGAGATGACCAGGGATGAGCTTCCTCAGTTCCCACTCCCCACTCACAAGCTTATCTGCATCTCTGTTTTCCTTCCCGGGTGTCTTGGAGGACGAATGTGTCAAGGCCAGTGTCACCACTGTTCTTGTGTCACCGCTCTTGAATTTACTCTTCGCCATATCCATCCAGGAATTTGTTCCATCAATGATTCATTTGCTCTCCTGTTTCTTCAACTTTCCCCTCCTTCTGGTTTCTTCTCATCATATTCAAGTCTCTTTAAATCTAAAAAATTACAGGTAAAACTCTCACCATTCTACATTCCTCTTTTAGCTATCACTCCAATTTGTCTTCTTTTTATCTGGGCTTCTGGAGAGGTCCTCCATCAGATATGACTTTCCTTCTGCCTCTTCAAATTCACAGAAACTGCTTGTCCTAAGGTCATCAATGACTTCCTCATTGTTTAACCCAGGGAATAGTTTGTTCTTTCTTAGTTGACTCCTCTGAGATACTTGGCATCATTGCTCTCCTTTTTGAAACCCTCTTCTTTAACTCCCAGTGGTGCATAGGCTGTAGGTTTACTGATAGCTCCCAAATCCTATCTCTAGCCCAACCCACTCCTTCAGACCCTCATATTGAACTGCACACCAAATTGCCCACCTGGATCCAAATGCAACATATCCATAATGGGACCCATTTATATATCCCCAAGTTTCTTCCATTCGTGGGCCTCAGTTACCAAATCAGAAGCCTGGGAGTCATCTTTAACTTCTCCCCTCACCTCCACCCTTATAGCGAATGGTTGCCAAGTATTTTCTACTCTACTTAATAAGAAGGCCTCACATCTAACTTAGACATTCAAAGAATCAACTGACTATTCTGCTTCCCATCTCACCCCAGCAAAATCTCCTGTGGAGATTGGAATTCTGTGGTTTTCTCATTCTGCTCTTCATATGTAACATCCATTCACTGAATGAAAACACCTGACTTGGGAGGAGTGACCCCAGCTGCAGTGAAGGGTGCCAAGTATCAAGCTGATTTCTTTTCTAAGTATTTGTGTTGAGAAAACAGGGTTTTGCAAGCCATAATCATCTTGAATTATGCATTGTTGAGCTGCTTTAAGCATAAAAGCAAAAGAAATAAATGTGTAATAATATTCAGGGTAAAGTTGGGCCATGAAAATCATCACAGTGAAGTCATTTGTGGGGCCTTGCCAGGTTCTTCTCATAAGGATGAATCTCACTAGTTCCCTTTGAAATGCAGGGGCTTGGAGTTCTGAACCACAATCCTATCTTTGTGCTCCAAGTTAAAACACATGAAAATAAACCAGAGGACAGGAGTGTGCCTGCCACCTCCTCAGCAGCCCTTCTGGCACACACGGGTAGACGATCACGTATAGATGCATCTACATGGGTAGATCCATCACCACAGCCCTACTTGATGTCATCACAAGGCATGTTCCAAGACCCATCTGGAAGGTGTTTCAGAAGAGAAAAAGCCTAGAAGACTTCAACATTTATAAAACAGCCCATGTTAATCAGACTCAATTTTATGTCAGAAAAATTTTTAAAGGAGCAAAAATGAACTAAATACTATCCAAGATTCTTTCCAGCTGAAGAAAAGTCTACAATCCCTTTAAGTCACTGGTTCTTAACTTTGGTGGCAGTGGAGGTGAAGGAGGTGTTGCAGACTCCTTTGAGAAATCAATGGAGGATATGGATTCAGTTTTCAAAAAATGCTTACACATACCCCACCCACACCCCCCAACCACAAACTTTTATGTACAATTTCAAGGATTTCATGCATCCCAGTTTAAGACCTCATGTCTCCATTTCGGCACTGACTACACATGAACTTGAATGTGACTGAAACATTTTTTGTAATCACAAAAATATAAGATTTCCACTTAGCGCCCCTGAAAATCACCTAGGTTTCTAACCTGTTCCTCTTCCATTTCCTAAGGGTTCTTACTATGGACTTCCCTGGGTGGTGGTGGCAGGGGGGCTATTTCTCAGCTCAGCAGAGAATGCTGTTTCATAGTTAAGCCAGTGTTTCTCAAACAAAAGCCTTTGGAAGAACTTGGACTCATTCCATCTCCAGGCCCATGGCTTCTGGACTGGCTGTGCTAGGAAGGGTAGGCCAAATTTTAGCTGTCCCCAGTAGACTTTCCTCTCCACTGGGCTGAGAGTATTATCAAAGAGACCCCAGATTTAGAAGCCAGGCTGGAAGTGGGTAGAATGGTTCAAGCTGCTCCTTTTCTGAAGAGACGTAACTTGGTCTGGCTTGTCTACAGGTTTGAGTCAGGGATGATGGGTGCCTGAGAGGAGGGGAGAGTGGAAGCCATTAAGACAAGGAAACTTTTAAGGGCTTTGGTGGTGCTGGCAGTTGGCATGAGTGGGACACGTGGAACTGGAGCTTGTATTAAGAAGTTAAAGCTGGAGTAAAATGTTTCCCACACTTAAATGTTCTCAGTGCTCAGATCAGTCCACCTGTCTGAAGCCGCCGGAGAGTGTCTGGGGCAGCATTATTCTTGCTGCTTTATTACTATCATTGCCATGTGGCCTCTAATCTCTGTTATTAAGAACAACTTTGTTTTACCCAGATTCTTCACTTTCTAGAAACTCTCACTTCATGATTACTTAATGGGCATTTACTTACCACTTTCATTTTCCTACAATTTGAGGGCTTTTTCAAGAATTTCAAAAAAGGGTCAAAATTTCTGATTCCCTTCTAACTGGAAGTCTTGAGAAAATATCTTGCATGCCATAACAATTAAATAAACATGTTTCAATTTCTCCAGTTGATGAAAAAGTCCAATTTTGTTTCATATTACTTCTGCAGAATTACAGAAAATGAAATGTTGGCAGAATTCCATGGGAAAAAATAAGGATTTTAGCAGTTTTGCCTAATTCAATTACATCATTACTTCCCAAACTCACCAGTTGTTATACCATATTGCAAAATGTCACCAGTACTTTCCCAGTTTCATATATTATGGAGAAAAGAGAATTTTATTATGTGCCTGTACAGAAAGTGGAAGAGGAGTTTGTACAAGAGAAGTGTCACATGACAGTGACTGCGTGCACTTGCCTCCTACAAATTCTGATAGGTGCAGAGAAAAGATTTTAACGAAGTTTATTAGTTCATAATTTTTTTAAAGAACAAAATTTGCAATTTTACTTTGCCTTAATGAGTTAACACAATGTGTTCAATGTATTATGTAGAATAATACTCATGAAATAGATGCTTTCTGTGGACTCAAAAATAGAGGCTTTACATTCACAGTTCTGTCTACCTGGAACTCCCCACCATGCACATACACACTTTCTCTCTCTCTGTCTCCTCTCTCTCTCTCTCACACACACACACACACACACACACACACACACACACACCCCTTCACAAATTCATTCCAGGGCATCCTTCATTCTTCACCTGATTGGAAAAGTGATTCTATGTCCAACGTGAGTAGAGAAGGGGCTCCAACCCAAGGACGTGGTATCTGTTTGAGAAGAAGGGAGGAAAGGTGGGAAATTAGCAAGCATAAGGTTTCAGTGGAAATTATGTCACTCTCTTCCTGCCCCAGTCCCCATGGCACTGTAAATGTGAAAGCAGCCCCAGCCCAAGCCTAAAGGAAGAATAATCTATTATTTATGAATGTAAGCAGTGAAGCCATGGAGCACTTAAAGCACAGATACTGGAAGCAAAATGCCTGGATTTGACTCCCAGCTCTAAAGGTTACTAACTGTGCCACCACAGATAAATTGTTTAACCCCTTTTTTGCTTCAGTTTCCTAATTGGTAAAGGGAAATAATAATAATAACAATAAGAAGAAGATAAAGGAGGAGGAGCAGGAGAAGGAAGATGAGCAGCAAGATGTCGGACTAGAAGGCTCCACCTATCATCACCCATCCAAGGACACCAAGTTAATAACTATCTATACAGAAAAAACACCTTCATAAGAACCAAAAATCAGGTGAGCCCTCATAGTACCTGGTTTTAACTCCATATCACAGTACAAGATATAAATAGAAACAACAAAAAGTTAAAAATCAGGGAAACAAAGTTATGGCATAGAGTTCGTATTTTTTATTTTTTGCTTGAATACGCAAACAGTGTTATGTTGTTATGAGGTTAAAATAATGGGTTATAAGATAGTATTTGTAAGCTTCATGGTAATCTCAAACCAAAAAACATACAACAGAGACACAAAAAAATAAAAAGCAAGAAACTAAATCATATCACCAGAGAAAATCACCTTTCACTAAAGGAAGACAGAAAGGAAAGAAAGAAAGAAGAGAAGACCATAAAATAATCAGAAAACAAGCAACAAAATGGAAGGAGTAAGTTCTTACTTATCAATAACATCACTGAATGTAAATGGACTAAACTTTCTAATCAAAAGACACAGACTGACTGAATGGATGAAAAAACAAGACCCATTGATCTGCTGCCTACAAGAAACACACTTCCCCCATAAAGACACATATAGGCTAAAAATAAAGGGATGGAAAAAGACATTCCATGCCAATGGAAACCAGAAAACAGTGGGAGAAATTATACTTATATAAGACAAAATAGATTTCAAAACAAAAACCGTAAGAAGCTACAAAGAAGATCACTAATGATAAAGGGGTCAATTCAGCAAGAGGATATAACAATTTTAAATATATAAGTACCCAACACTGGATCACCCAGATACACAAAGCAAATGTTATTAGAGCTAAAAAGAGAGATAGGCCCCAATACAACAATAGCTGGAGACTTTGAGACACTTGACTTTCAGCACTGGACAGATCTTCCAGACAGAAAATCAACAAAGAAACATTAGACTTAATCTGCACTACAGACTGAATGGATCTAATAGATATTTACAGAACATTTCATCCAATGGCTTCAGATTACACATTCTTTTTCTTAGCACATGCATCATTCTCAAGGATAGGCCATATGTTAGGTCACAAAACAAGTCTTAAAACATTCAAAAAATTTTAAATAATGTCAAGCATTTTCTCTGACCACAGTGGAATAAAACTAGAGATTAATAACAAGAGAAATTTTGAAAACTATGCAAACACATGGAAATTAAACAATATGCTCCTGAATGACCAGTGGGTCAATGAAGAAATTAAGAAGGAAATCGAAAATTTTCTTGAAACAAATGATAATGGAAACACAACATACCAAAACCTATGAGATACAGCAAAACCAGGACTAAGAGGGAAGTTTATAGCTATAAGTGCCTACATCAAAAAAGAGAAAACGGTGGCTCACACCTGTAATCCCAGCACTTTGGGAGGCCGAGGCAGGTGAATCACAACATCAGGAGATCAAGACCACGGTGAAACCCCATCTCTACTAAAAATACAAAAAATTAGCTGGGTGCAGTGGCAGGCACCTGTAGTCCCAGCTACTCAGGAGGCTGAAGCAGAAGAATGGCATGAACCTGGAAGGTGGAGCTTGCAGTGAGCTGAGATTGTGCCACTGCACTCCAGCCTGGGCGACAGAGAGAGACTCCGTCTCAGAAAAAAAAAAGAGAAAAAAACCTTCAAATAAACAACCTGATGATGCATCTTAAGGAATGAGAAAAGCAAGAACAACCCAAACACAAAATTAGTAGAAGAAAAGAAATAATAAAGATCAGAGTGGAAATTAATGAAATCGAAGTGAAAAAATACAAAAGATCAATGAAACAAAAAGTTGGATTTTGAAAAGTTAAACAAAATTGACAAACCTTGAGCCAGACTAACTAAGAAAAAAGAGAGAAGATACAAATAAATAAAATCAGAAATGAAAAAGGAGACATTACAACTAATACAGCAGAAATTCAAAGGTTCATTAGAAGTTACTATGAGCAACTATATGCCAGTAAATTAGAAAATCTAGAACAAATGGACACATTTCTGGACACATACAATCTACCAAGATTGAACCAGGAAGAAATCCAAAACCTGGACAAACCAGTAACAAGTAGTGAGATCAAAGCCATAACAAAAACTCTCCCAGTAAAGAAAAGCCCAGGACCCGATGACTTCAATGATGAATTCTACAAAACATTTAAAGAAGAAATAATATCAATCCAACTCAAACTATTTCAAAAAAATAGAGGAGCAGGGAATACTTCCAAACTCATTCTATGAGGCTAGCATTACCCCAATACCAAAACCAGATAAAGACACATCAACAAAAGGAAACTGCAGGCCAGAATCTCTGACAAATATTAATGCAATTTTTTGCAACAAAATAATAGCAAACCAAATTCAACAATACATTAGAAAGATCTTTCATCATGACCAAGTGGGATTTATCCCTGGGATGCAAGAATGGCTTAACATATCAAATGCTTTGCGAAGAAAGTTCAACATATCAAATCAATCAATGTGATATATCAACAGAATGAAGGATAAAAACCATATGATTATTTCAATTGATACTGAAAAAGGATTTGATAAAATTCAACATTCCTTCATGATAAAAACCCTCAAAAAAACTGAGTATAGCAGGAGTATAAGTTAACATAATAAAAGCCATATACAACAGACCCACAGCTAGTATCATACTGAATGGGGAAAAAACTGAAATCCCCTCCTCTAAGATCTGGAACATGACAAGGATGCCCACTGATATCACTGTTATCCAACACAGTACTGGAAGTTCTAGCTAGAGCAATCAGACAAGAGAAAGATATAAAGGGCATCCAAATTAGAAAAGAAGTGAAATCATCGTTGTTTGCAGATGATATGATCCTATATTTGAAAAAATCTAAAGATTACACAAGAAACCTATTAAAAATGATGAACAAATTTAGTTGCAGGATATAAAATCAACATAACCAAAATCAGTAGCATTTCTATATGCCAACAGTGAACAATCTGAAAAAGAAATAAAAAAGTTACCCCACTTACAATAGCCACACATAAAATTAAATACCTAGGAATTAACTAAAGAAGTGCAAGATCTCGATAGCCATTCCAAGATGGCCGAATAGGAACAGCTAAGGTCTGCAGCTCCCAGCGTGGTCAAAACAGAAGAAGGTGCTTTCTGCATTTCCAACTGAGGTACCTGGTTCATCTCATTGGGGCTGGTTGGACAGTGAGTGCAGCCCACAGAGGGTGAGCCAAAGCAGGGCAGGGTATCGCCTCACCTGGGAAGTGCAAAAGGTCGGGGGATTTCCCTTTCCTAGCCAAGGGAAGCCGTGACAGACTGTACCTAGAAAATTGGGACACTGCCACCCAAATACTGCACTTTTCCAATGGTCTTAGCAAACGGCACACCAGGAGATTATATCCTGTGCCTGGCTCGGCGGGTCCCATGCCCATAGAGCCTTGCTCACTGCTAGTGCAGCAGTCCAAGATCAAACTGCAAGGTGGCAGTCTGGCTGTGGGAGGGGCATCTGCAATTGCTGAGGCTTGAGTAGGTAAACAAAGCAGCTGGGAAGCTCAAACTGGGTAGAGTCCACCTCAGCTCAATGAGGCCTGCCTGCCTCTATAGACTCTACCTTTGCGGGCAGGGCATAGCTGAACAAAAGGCAGCAGAAACTTCTGCAGACTTAAATGTCCCTGTCTGACAGCTCTGAAGAAAGCAGTGGTTCTCCCAGCATGGTGTTTGAGCTCTGAGAAAAGACAGACTGCCTCCTCAAGTGGGTCCCTGACCCCCATGTAGCCTAACTGGGAGACAACTCCCAGTAGGGGCCAACTGACACCTCATACAGCCGGGTGCCCCTCTGAGACGAAGCTTCCAGAGGAAGGATCAGAGAGCAATATTGGCTGTTCTGCAATATTTGCTGTTCTGCATCCTCTGCTGGTGATACCAAGGCAAACAGGGTCTGGAGTGGACCTCCAGCAAACTCCAACAGACCTGCAGCTGAGGAACCTGACTGTTAGAAGGAAAACTAACACACAGAAAGGAATAGCATCAACATCAACAAAAAAGACATCCACACCAGAACCCCATCTGTAGGTCACCATCATCAAAGACCAAAGGTAGATAAAACCACAAAGATGGGGAGAAACCAGAGCAGAAAAGCCGAAAATTCTAAAAACCAGAGTGCCTCTTCTCCTCCAAAGGATCACAGCTCCTCACCAGCAACAGAACAAAGCTGGACTGAGAATGACTTTGACCAGCTGACAGAAGTAGGCTTCAAAAGGTCGGTAATAACAGACTTCTCCGAGCTAAAGGAGGATGTTCGAACCCATTGCAAGGCAGCTAAAAACCTTGAAAAAAGATTACACGAATGGCTAACTAGAATAAACAGTGCAGAGAAGACCTTAAATGACCTGATGGACTGAAAACCATGGCACAAGAACTATGTGATGCATGCACAAGCTTCAGCGGAATACAGAGTATCAGTGATTGGAGATCAAATGAATGAAATGAAGCAAGAAGAGAAGTTTAGAGACAAAAGAGTAAAAAGAAATAAAACCTCCAAGAAATATGGGACTATGAGTAAAGACCACATCTACGCTTGATTGGTGTACCTGAAAGTGACGGGGAGAATGGAATTAAGCTGGAAAACACTCTTCAGGATATTATCCAGGAGAATGTCCCCAACCTATCAAGGCAGGCCAACATTCAAATTCAGGAAATACAGAGAACACCACAAAGATACTCCTCGAGAAAAGCAACCCCAAGACACATAATTGTCAGATTTACCAAGGTTGAAAAGAGGAAAAAATGCTAAGGGCAGCCAGGGAGAAAGGTCGGGTTACCCACAAAGGGAAGCCCATCAGACTAACAGCTGATCTCTCAGCAGAAACTCTACAAGCCAGAATAGAGTGGGGGCCAATATTCAACATTCTCAGAGAAAAGAATTTTCAACCCAGAATTTCATATCCAGCCAAATTAAGCTTCATAAGTGAAGGAGAAATAAAATCCTTTACAGACAAACAAATGCTGAGAGATTTTGTCACCACCAGGCCTGCCTTACAGGAGCCCCTGAAGGAAGCACTAAACATGGAAAGGAACAACTGGAACCAGCCACTGCAAAAACATGCCAAATTGTAAAGACCATCGATGCTAGGAAGAAACTGCATCAACTAACGGGCAAAATAACCAGCTACCATCATAATGACAGGATCGAATTCACACATAACAATATTAACCTTAAATGTAAATGGACTAAATGCTCCAATTAAAAGACACAGACTGGCAAATTGGATAAAGAGTCAAGACCCATCAGTGTGCTGTATTCAGGAGACCCATCTCACATGCAGAGACACACATAGGCTCAAAATAAAGGGATGGAAGAAGATCTACCAAGCAAATGGAAAGCAAAAAAAGCAGGGGTTGCAATCCTAGTCTCTGATAAAACAGACTTTAAACCAACAAAGATCAAAAGAGACAAAGAAGGCCATTACATAATGGTAAAGGGATCAATGCAACAAGAAGAGCTAACTATCCTAAATATATATGCACCCAATACAGAAGCACCCAGATTCATAAAGCAAGTCCTTAGAGACCTACAGAGACTTAGACTCCCACACAATAATAATGGGAGACTTTAACATCCCACTAACAATATTAGACAGATCAACGAGACAGAAGGTTAACAAGGATATCCAGGACTTGAACTCAGCTCTGCAACAAGCAGACCTAATAGACATCTAAAGAACTCTCCACCCTGAATCAATAGAATATACATTCTTCTCAACACCACATTGCACTTATTCCAAAATTGACCACATAGTTGGAAGTAAAGCACTCCTCAGCAAACGTAAAAGAACAGAAATTATAACAAACTGTCTCTCAGACCACAGTGCAATCAAACAAGAACTCAGGATTAAGAAACTCACTCAATACCAGTCAACTACATGGAAACTGAACAACCTGCTCCTGAATGACTACTGGGTACATAACAAAATGAAGCCAGAAATAAAGATGTTCTTTGAAACCAACGAGAACAAAGACACAACATACCAGAATCTCTGGGACACATTCAAAGCAGTGTGTAGAGGGAAATTTATAGCACTAAATGCCCACAAGAGAAAGCAGGAAAGATCTAAAATCAACACCCTAACATCACAATTCAAAGAACTAGAGAAGCAAGAGCAAACAAATTCAAAAGCTAGCAGAAGGCAAGAAATAACTAAGATCAGAGCAGAACTGAAGGAAATAGAGACACAAAAACCCCTTCAAAAAATCAATGAATCCAGGAGCTGGTTTTTTGAAAAGATCAACAAAATTGATAGACCGCTAGCAAGACTAATAAAGAAGAAAAGAGAGAAGAATCAAATAGACGCAATAAAAAATGACAAAGGGGATATCACCACTGATCCCACAGAAATACAAACTACCATCAGAGAATACTATAAACACCTCTACGCAAATAAACTAGAAAATCTAGAAGAAATGGATAAATTCCTGGACATGTACACTCTCCCAAGACTAAACCAGGAAGAAGTTGAATCTCTGAATAGACCAATAACAGGCTCAGAAATTGAGGCAATAATTAACAGCTTACCAACCAAAAAAAGTCCAGGACCAGATGGATTCACAGCTGAATTCTACCAGAGGTACAAGGAGGAGCTGGTATCATTCCTTCTGAAACTATTCCAATCAATAAAAAAAGAGGGAATCCTCCTGAACTTATTTTATGAGGACAGCATCATCCTGAAACCAAAGCCTGGCAGAGACACAACAAAAAAAGAGAATTTTAGACCAATATCCTTGATGAACATTGATGCAAAAATCCTCATTAAAATACTGGCAAACCGAATCCAGCAACACATCAAAAAGCTTATCCACCATGATCAAGTGGGCTTCATCCCTGGGATGCAAGGCTGGTTCAACATACGAAAATCAATAAATGTAATCCAGCATATAAACAGAACCAAAGACAAAAACCACATGATTATCTCAATAGATGCAGAAAAGGCCTTTGACAAAATTCAACAACCCTTCATGTTAAAAACTCTCAATAAATTAGGTATTCATGGGACATATCTCAAAATAATAAGAGCTATCTATGACAAACCCACAGCCAATATCATACTGAATGGGCAAAAACTGAAAGCATTCCCTTTGAAAACTGGCACAAGACAGGGATGCCCTCTCTCACCACTCGTATTCAACATAGTGTTGGAAGTTCTGGCCTGGGCAATCAGGCAGGAGAAGGAAATAAAGGGCATCCAATTAGGAAAAGAGGAAGTCAAATTATCCCTGTTTGCAGATGACATGACTGTATATCTAGAAAACCCGATCATCTCAGCCCAAAATCTCCTTAAGCTGATAAGCAACTTCAGCAAAGTCTCAGGATACAAAATCAATGTACAAAAATCACAAGCATTCTTATACACCAATAACGGACAAACAGAGAGCCTAATCATGAGTGAACTCCCATTCACAATTGCTTCAAAGAGAATAAAATACCTAGGAATCCAACTTACAAGGGATGTGAAGGACCTCTTCAAGGAGAACTACAAACCACTGCTCAATGAAATAAAAGAGGATTACAAACAAATGGAAGAACATTCCATGCTCATGGGTAGGAAGAATCAATATCGTGAAAATGGCCATACTGCCCAAGGTAATTTATAGATTCAATGCCATCCCCATCAAGCTACCAATGACTTTCTTCACAGAATTGGAAAAAACTATTTTAAAGTTCATATGGAACCAAAAAAGAGCCCACATTGCCAAGTCAGTCCTAAGCCAAAAGAACAAAGCTGGAGGCATCAGGCTACCTGACTTCAGGCTACAGTAACCAAAACAGCATGCTACTGGTATCTAAACAGAGATATAGACCAATGGAACAGAACAGAGCCCTCAGAAATAATTCCACATATCTACAACTATCTGATCTTTGACAAACCTGACAAAAACAAGAAACGGGGAAAGGATTCTCGATTTAATAAATGGTGCTGGGAAAACTGGCTAGCCATATGTAGAAAGCTGAAACTGGATCCCTTCCTTACACCTTATACAAAAATTAATTCAAGATGGATTAAAGACTTAAATATTAGACCTAAAACCATAAAAAGCCTAGAAGAAAACTTAGGCAATACCATTCAGGATATAGGCATGGGCAAGGACTTCATGTCTAAAACACCAAAAGCAATGGCATCAAAAGCCAAAATTGACAAATGGGATCTAATTAAACTAAAGAGCTTCTGCACAGCAAAAGAAACTACCATCAGCGTGAACAGGCAACCTACAGAATGGGAGAAAATTTTTGCAACCAATTCATCTGACAAAGGACTATTATCCAGAATCTACAATGAACTCAAAACAAATTTACAAGAAAAAAACAAACAACCCCATCAAAAAGTGGGTGAAGGATATGAACAGACACTTCTCAAAAGAAGACATTTATGCAGCCAAAAAACACAGAAAAAATGCTCATCATCACTGGCCATCAGAGAAATGCAAATCAAAACCACAATGAGATATCATCTCACACCAGTTAGAATGGCGATCATTAAAAAGTCAGGAAACAACAGGTGCTGGAGAGGATGTGGAGAAATAGGAACACTTTTACACTGTTGGTGGGACTGTAAACTAGTTCAACCATTGTGGAAGTCAGTGTGGCGATCCCTCAGGTATCTAGAACTAGAAATACCATTTGACCCAGCCATCCCATTACTGGGTATATACCCAAAGGATTATAAATCATGCTGCTATAAAGACACATACACACGTATGTTTATTGCGGCACTATTCACAATAGCAAAGACTTGGAACCAACCCAGATGTCCAACAATGATAGACTGGATTAAGAAAATGTGGCACATATACACCATGGAATACTATGCAGCCATAAAAAAGGATGAGTTTATATCCTTTGTAGGGACATGGATGAAGCTGGAAACCATCATTCTCAGCAAACTATCGCAAGGACAAAAAACCAAACACCACATGTTCTCACTCATAGGTGGGAATTGAACAATGAGAACACATGGACACAGGAAGGGGAACATCACACACCGGGGACTGTTGTGGAGTGGGGGGAGTGGGGAGGGATAGCATTAGGAGATATACCTAATGCTAAATGACGAGTTAATGGGTGCAGCACACCAACATGGCACATGTGTACATATGTAACAAACCTGCATGTGGTGCACATGTACCCTAAAACTTAAAGTATAAAAAAAAAATTGTGTCCCATGCTGTAAAACCATGTTCATTTTCTTAATGTGCCATATCCAAAGCAATGTATTCTTGCTCGGGTAGACTGAGATGTTATTTAGAGTAAAAGGTTGGCAGTGGCATAAGGGCAGGATGGAGAAGAGAGAAAGGCTCTGTACTTATCACCTCCTCTCTTCCTACTAAGATACGCAGTTCTCCTTGTAGTAGCTGCAGCCTCTATGTTTCGATACTACTAGTAATGGGATAACTAGGCCTTTTCTCTTCCCAATGTCAACAGTCCCATTCACTTCCAATCTGGTAAATTGGAAACAAATTAATGACTCCTAGTTTCATTTATCATACTTCAGTGACTCTTTCTTAACCTTTAAAAGGCTTATTTCTCGTTATAATTATCATTATTGGCTGGGCACAGTGGTTTATGCCTGTAATCCCGCACTTTGGGATGCCAAGGTGGGCAGATCACTTGAGGTTAGGAGTTCGAGACCAGCCTGGCCAACATAGTGAAACTTCATCTCTACTAAAATACAAAAATTAGCCGAGCATGGTGGTGGGTGCCTGTAATCCCAGCTACTCGGGAGTCTGAAGCAGGAGAATTGCTTGAACCTGGGAGGTGGAGGTTGCAGTGAGTGGAGATAGTGCCACTGCACTCCAACCTAGGCAACAGAGCAAGACTCCATCTCAATATATATATAATGACAGAAGGTGATATATATAGATATAGATAGATATATATCATTACCAAGCCAGGTTACCCCAGAATTCTAGCCTTGCATTTCACTATTTACCAATGAGCAGGTATCCTGAACTATTAAACTTGATTCCCAGTATGTGCCTTTTGCTTTCCTTATGCTGTTCTCTGCTGGATACAGCCTCCTCCCTAATCTAAACCTATCAGACCATCAACCTGTCTTTTAAATTCACATTTATAACATTACCTCAACCTCCATTTAAAAAATGAGCAGGCCTTTATGTGTTGACCTTCGTTGACAAAAATGATAAACATTTTTGTGGCAACCACTCTACCAAAACTAAGTACAGTCATTTATATCTATATCATAATACCAGTGTATTACACACATAGCATGGCCTTGATCTAAGTCAATCTGCATCATAGTTTCTGTGTATCTTCTGTATAAAAAGAACAATGAAAATATCTGTAATTATTTATATTTCATTATTAATCACTTTAATAAAACATTTTATAAACATTTTCAGCCCATACCTCCAAAGTAGATTGATCTACTCTGATGCCCAAAGTTATTTTAATATAATGCCATTAATAGTATATAGCAACACATTTAAAAGGTTATGATTTTGTCTTGATCTGTACACTAAAATTGAGCTTCAGTGCTCAATGGGCTAAAAAAAGTACAACTCCTCACAGTATTAAACATAAACATTATGATTGGAATGAGTTTCATCATTATTGTTCTTTCATGCAAATCCAAAACACAAAAACAATATGATGATGTTGGAACTATTTACAGTACGTTAACCATCAGTTAAGTTTTAAAGATTGGAGAGGTTATAGAAAGAAGAAAAAAGTCATTTATTTCTTGGAATTTTTAGTATCTACTGATTATAACATAACTAGTAAAGCTTAGAAATTCATTTTGTAAGCTGTAATATTATTATCTGTACTAATAAAAAAGTAAACAGCAAAAAAAGAAGTGAACGATCTCTATAATGAAAACTATAAAATATAGATGAAAGAAATTAAAGTGAACAAAAAATGGAAAAATATTCAATGTTTATGGATTGAAAGAATCAATATTGTTAAAATGTCCATACTACCAAAGCAATCTACAGATTCAATGCAATCCCTATCAAAATACCAATGACATTCTTCACAGAAATAGAACAAAAATCCTAAAATTTATATGGAACCACAAAAAACAAAAAACAAACAAACAAAAAAGACAGAATAGCCAAACCCATCCTAAGCAAAGAGAAAAAAACTGGGGGAATCACATTACCTGGCTTCAAATTACTACATAGCTATAGTACTGTAGTACTACTTTTGGTTACTGCAGGGCTACAGTAACCAAAACAGCATGGTACTGGCATAAAAATAGACACATAGACCAATGGAACAGAATAGAGAATCCAGAAACAAATCCATACACCTACAGTGAACACATTTTCGACAAAGGTGCCAAGAACATACACTGAAGAAAAGACAGTCTCTTCAATAAATGGTGCTGGGAAACCTGGATATCCATATGCAGAAGAATAAAACTACTGCAGAAATAGATGAGAGACCCGTATCTCTCATCACATGCAAAAATCAAATCAAAATGGATTAAAGACTTAATCTAAGACCTGAAAGTATGAAACTACTACAAGAAAACATTGTGGAAAATCTCCAGGACATTGGTCTGGGCAAAGATTTCTTAAGCAATACCCCACAAGCATAGGCAACCAAAGTTAAAAGGGGGCAAATGGGATTATATCAAGTTTAAAAGCTTCTGCAGAGCAAAGAAACAATAACAAAGTGAAGAGACAACATACAGAATGGGAGAAAATATTTACAAACTGTCCATCTGATAAGGGATTAATAAAAAGAATATATAAGGAGCCCAAACAACTCTTTAGGAAAAAATCTAATCCAATCAAAAAATGGGCAAAAGATTTGAATAGATATTTCTCAAAAGACATACAAATGGCAAACAGGCATATGAAAAGGTGTTCAACATCACTGATCATCAGAGGAATGCAAATCAAAACAACAATGAGATATCATCTCACCCCAGTTAAAATGACTTTTATCCAAAAGACAGGCAATAACAAATGCTGGTGAGAATGTGAAGAAAAGGGAACCCTTATATGCTGTTGGTGGGAATGTAAATTAGTACAACTACTATGGAGAAGAGTTTGGAAGTTCCTCAAAAAACTAAAAATAGAGCTAGCATACGCTCCAGCAATCTTACTGCTGGGTATATACCCAGAAGAAAGGAAATCAGCATATTGAAGACACATCTGCACTCCTGTGTTTGTTGCAGCTTTTACAATAGCTAAGATTTGGAAGCAATCTAAATGTCCATCAACAGATGAATGGATAAGGAAAATGTGATACATATCCACAATAGAGTACTTAAGCCATAAAAAAGAATGAAAGCCTGTCATTTGCAACAACATGAATGGAACTGGAGGTCATTATGTTAAGTGAAATAAGCCAGAAACAGAAAGACAAATATCACATGTTCTCACTTATTTGTGGGACCTAAAAATGAAAACAATTGAACTCAAGGACAGAGAGAGTAGAAGGATGGTTACCAGAGGCTGGGAAGGGTAGCAGGGTGCTGGGGAGGAAGGGAGATGGTTAATGGGTACAAAAAAATAAAAAGAATGAATGAGACTTACCAGGTTGATAGCCCAACAGGGTTACTATAATCAATAATAACTTATTTGTACAGTTTTAAATAATTAAAGGAGTTATTGGATTGTTTGTAACTCAAAGGATAAAATATTTGCAATCACCCCATTCTCCATGTGTGCTTATTTCATATTCTATGCCTATATCTAAACATTCATGTGCCCCATAAATATATATACCTACTACGTACCCACAAAAATTAAAATAATAATTATATATATAGAATAAATAGGATTCATGAGAAAGAAATAAGTTATTATACTGGCAGCATCTCGTGCCTAGCACATAGTATGCACTAGAAAAGTACTTGCCGTTCCCGTCTGGGAGGTGAGGAGCGCCTCTGCCCGGCCGCCACCCTGTCTGGGAAGTGAGGAGCGCCTCTGCCCGGCCGCCCATCGTCTGGGAAGTGAGGAGCGCCTCTGCCCGGCCGCCCTGTCTGGGAAGTGAGGAGCGCCTCTGCCCGGCCGCCCATCGTCTGGGAAGTGAGGAGCGCCTCTGCCCGGCCGCCCATCATCTGGGAAGTGAGGAGCGCCTCTGCCCGGCCGCCCATCGTCTGGGAAGTGAGGAGCGCCTCTGCCCGGCCGCCCTGTCTGGGAAGTGAGGAGCACCTCTGCCCGGCCGCTGTGCAATCTTCCAAGTGTGAAGTGACAGCCTTTCTGCAGGTGTACCCAACAGCTCCAAAGAGACAGCGACCATCGAGAAGGGGCCATGATGACGATGGCGGTTTTGTCGAAAAGAAAAGGGGGAAATGTGAGGAAAAGAAAGAGAGATCAGATTGTTACTGTGTCTGTGTAGAAAGAAGTAGACATAGGAGACTCCATTTCATTCTGTACTAAGAAAAATTCTTCTGCCTTGGGATGCTGTTAATCTATAACCTTACCCCCACCCCGTGCTCTCTGAAACGTGTGCTGTGTCAATTCAGGGTTAAATGGATTAAGGGCAGTGCAAGATGTGCTTTGTTAAACAGATGCTTGAAGGCAGCATGCTCCTTAAGAGTCATCACCACTCCCTAATCTCAAGTACCCAGGGACGCAAACACTGCGGAAGGCCTCAGTGACCTCTGCCTAGGAAAACCAGAGACCTTTGTTCACGTGTTTATCTGCTGACCTTCTCTCCACTATTATCCTATGACCCTGCCACATCCCCCTCTCCGAGAAACACCCAAGAATGATCAATAAATACTAAAAAAAAAGAAAAGAAAAGAAAAAAGAAAAGTACTTGCAGTTACTACTGCACAGGTTTAAACAATTTCACCGGGACAGGACAATTTTATGAGTTATAATCACCGTCCTTTAGCAATCCTACAAACACACCTCATTTTCATCTGTCACCCTCTCCCCTTTCACTCACTGGCCAGTTGCTCACTCATAGGTGGGAACTGAACAATGAGAACACATGGACACAGGAAGGGGAACATCACACACCGGGGCCTGTTGTGGGGTGGGGGGAGGGGGGAGGGATAGCATTAAGAGATACACCTAATATTAAATGACGAGTTAATGGGTGCAGCACACCAACATGGCACATGTATACATACGTAACTAACCTGCACGTTGTGCACATGTACCCTAAAACTTAAAGTATAATAATAAAAAAAAAAAAAAAAAAAGAGGGAAGGTTGATGCTGGCCATGATTCCTTGGGAAGAACCAGCAGAACCAGTTTTCTCTCCCTGATGACTGAGAAAGGATTTTTTTAAGTTTCTCTGAACTGAGGTTGAAGAGAAGGGGCTGGTGGTGGTATCTGAGGAGCTCCCTGGGCTCTGGCATGTTCCCACAACTCCCTAAGACTTGCTTTAAATGAAGAAACAGAACCTTTAAACAAGAGTGTGGACTTCAGAGAAGTGACCTCTGCCTTGATTCCTAAGTGCCCTGCATCCCAACTGGACTTGAGCAGCATGAACCTCCTAGAACGTCCCGCCCCACCAGGCAGGCAGCAGTTGGGCATAGATGATTGGGATGATGTTGAAGCAGAGAAGACCTAAAATACCCCTTTTGGGTTTCCCACTGACCAGAAAGGTGTGGACAACAGTAGACCCTCTCTGTGCCCCAGAGGAGTGTGGGGGGAAAGAGAAAACCAATCTGAAAAGATATTAAAGCCCTGATGCAGGGACAACACAGCCAAAATGGAGAGGACCGCATGGCTGCAGGCCAGCTAGCAACTTGGTGCTCTGGTAGGTGCCAGTGTGGCAGGATGGCAAGGCCTGAGCACAAGGAGTTTTGCCCATCTCAGTGAGTAACAGAATGGAAAGATACCAACAGCCAGGGGCCTGATCCTCTTGCCCCTGAAGCTATGACACTACCTAAGATCCCTGGATCTCCCAACACCACTGCCATCTCAGGTTGGTAGTGGGGTCAGGGATTAAAATCTTAAATTAACTCAAGTAGAAGCCTGAAATAAATAACTTCACCTCAAATGAACTGAGATTAAATTTTCTGCCAGATAGCGAAATGGAGTTTGAAATAGAAAATAACCTGAGTCATAGAAAAATAGAGCACAGAGACGGAAAATTCATACTAACTTATTAGACAGTGGAAATGCCTGAGATGCATGTTGAAGAGTGCCCTCTAAACTGTGCCTCACTGTGCAAGATTCCATTGAGAATTCTGCTTAGGCAGTCCTCCATATTGCCACTTTCTTACTGAAGGACTAAATCCCCTAGGTGGATAGCTGCTAGAAATGGCAGAAAAAGAAGAAACAAACTAGACATCAAGGGGTAGGTAACCAAGGATTTACAGTGACTATGTGGGACCCACTGCGGCTGGGCAAAGGCAGTACAGCTTGCTAGACAGAGCCCTGAATTTGAGTCAGAGGTCTTGGGTTCAAATCCCAGTCCCTTACTTTGCTCTGTAATCCTGAGCAAGCACTTCAGCTTCTGAGAACCTCAGCCTCCTTATCTATAAGCAGCTTCTCCAGGTTAGGGTTAAATGAGGGCAGGTATGGAAAGTCCCCTCACAGAGCCAGACATATGATAGATGCTCACTGAGTATCTGAAGAATGAAACCCTGCCTCTAAGTCCTTTACTTCCAGACCTGCCCTGGCTTCTTCTCCCAGGTTGATGGTCCTAACTACCATGCATGATTCCATCTCTGGCTCTGGTCTTGTCCTGAGTGGGTGGAAGACCCAGAACCAGGATGCTACCCACACCAATTAAAGTATTATTTGCTCTTTGGATTCTTGAAGTCCTGCTAGCTGGCTAAATAGCCCTGAGTACCCACCCCAACAGTATAAACCCCAATTCACACACATACTTCCCTCGCTGGCTGGACCTGTGGGGTGCCAGCATGTCATGAGGCTAACTTGGCCCTATGTGGCCAGAGGAGCTGTAGATCCCTTGTCCCAGAGACACCATGGAGTTTTATCTTATAACTGAGGATGAAGGGGTTATTGTAAATAAACAGACGGCTTGGGCTTCATTACTAAGCCAGAGGAAAATTGTACAGCAATATCTTATTGTCCAGTTTAAATGGTGTTCAGGCCAGGGCGCTAATGGGGACTCTTTGTGAAGAAAGCAGAGGCAATGAATTCCTCCCTCAGTAATAAAAGGAGCAGAATCTTGAAAGAGGAGTAGCACTTTAAAAGGGGTGGCCCTTTAAAAACTTCCTGGGGCTGGTAGAAAGGAAAAGGGGGTGCACTGGGAGCCAGACACTGAGAGGGACCCCAGAGTCCTTACTGGTGGGAGGCCTGCATGCCTCCCTGACAGCTTGATATATTTCAGTGATGGAAACTGCTGACCATACTTTCTGTTTAAGTTAGCACATTTTGTTGGCTACCTTGTTGTAGGTGTTGAGTTATTCTTTCCCAGCTCCCCATCTGTATCACTTTTCTCCCTTTAGCACACTTATGTCAGGGTCAACATTCTTAATAATGAAGTCAAAATACCCTGTTGTCAAGGCTTCCAGAAAAAAAAAAAAACGCTAAACACAAAGAAGCTGTTAAGGCAGCTGGGATTACACCGGGAAGGGAGGGATAAATTCAAATTGCACTCCATGAAACCTGTAAAACTCCATCAGCTTTACCAGTTTCTCTCCAGCCTCCACATCCCCAAGGACCTCATTGTCCCTAAAGAAACCCATTAGTGTGCACAGGCTAATGAGACCCTCCAGTCACTGGAACAGGAGAGACTCAACAGGGAGCCCATTTCTGCACACTTGGCAGCAGGCTGCTGGAAACACCTGGTCCTCCCATCCACCCCGCAGGCTCAGGGCAGCAGTGACTCCTTCAACCTTGGCTACTCAAGGAATTTTGCTTGAAGAGACAGCCCAAGGAGTTAGAAGACTTCTTTTTGGTGGGTTCTCGTCACTAGCCTGGAATTCCTGTCCCATCTGGGGGACATTGTGTCATAGTTTCATCTTTAAAAATTGGGGAGGCTGTCTTGCAATGCAAATGAGTTTTTCATGAAACTCAATGTGGAGACATTAATAGCACCCAGCTGTTTATTTCTGAAATAAGGAATTATTCCCAGAGATTTGGAGGGTGGCACATGATGACAGGCATGACAACCCCCATTTAAACAGGGATTAACCTTCACAGACTAAGCACTCTCATTCCATTGCTAATCCCGTTTCTACTGATAGGAACTGCTTGGAGCTTGGGGTAGCCCAACCCTACAGACAGAAAAAAAGCTGCGTAGCTGCCCCTGTATCTTCCTCTACAGCCTCATTCCTCCAAGAGCACGCCATGGCCCTGCATTGGTGGTTTCCTCTCGTGATGACACTAGGCCATCTCTGCTTCCACAGAACACACACCATGTTGTCTGCCTAGCTAGAGGTCCAGTCAATACTTTGTAAGTCTTAGGAGTCAATGCATCCAACCATATAGTTTAAATATTGGCTATGTGACCTTGGGCAAGTCATTTAATCTCTCTGAATCACAGTGAAATCAGAATACTATTATTTCTCTTGCTGGGTTGTTGTGAATATTAGAATTAATGTCAGGAAAGCGTTCCACAATCTAAGAGGGATTGAATAAGTGGTTTTTGGTAGTCATGGTAGTAGCAGACAAGTTGTATATTTAGAATAATGAGTACTCACTCCAGCCACGCATTTTACTGATCTGACTCAGTGGCTTTAAGATGGTTTATAGCAGGAGAATTCCCTTTCTTTCCTGATGAAATCAGACACAAAATCTCCATTTCATAAAGCGAATAGCAGGACACTGCTCTGGTGGAACCGGGACAGATAGCCGGGACTCCTGCCCACCTGGCTCCCCCACCTTTCTGTGGAAGTCCCTCAAGTTCCTGCAAGAAATTCCAGGATGACTCACAGCAGTTTGAAAACCACAGGTTTCATTTACAATTGCCATTTTATTTACCAATGCCAGGGACCTGAAAGGTAGAGTCTGAACTTAGGGGCTATCCAAACATGACACCCTAAGTGTGGTCACTCTGAAGCAGGTCCTTGCCACACAGGGCTGTCACTGCTCAGGCGGAGGCCTTCCCTTCACTCACCCGCACAAGCAAAATGCCCTGCCACAAACCTTTCCTGTCTCCAGCCGGTCTTACTCATGCCTACCTGAAACCTCTGTCCCACACCAGCCCCTATCTTATTTACCTCTCAACGTGACAATCACAACTCATACACCGAGCTTAGCTTTACTTTTAAAATGTCATCTCCCATTACGTAAGTTTATTTTGCATTTACATGGCGCTTTATACATTTATCTAATTGATTCCTTGTCCTGACCAAACATGGCAGGTTTGTGGAACAGAATGTTACATGGAAGTTTCAGCAGAGGTCCAAAGACAATGGGAACTGCATTCCAAATGAGGTGCCAAAGAAGTTGCGGGATTTTCAAAATAGGTGCCAAGAACCAGCTCCCCGGTTCTTAGACCCTTTTTCCACAATGAAGGTATAGAGGATGGCAATTGAAGCATTTCTCAAGAGGATTTCTTTGGAGAGAGCTGTAGTATGAAACCTACTCCCCAAAAAGAGGGGTAGGGGGTCCCACCTGACTCCTGGTAATGTGGCCTTCAAGGAAATAGGAGAAGATTTTTAGAGAGAGCTGTGGACATGTAAGTGTAGCTTTTCCCCACCATGCCCACTTTAGTGAGGTCAGAGGTGGTGCCTTTCCTCTCATCTCAATTTTTAAAAGGTTGATTTTTAGGAGAAAAATGATATGTTCTAACTGCCTGACTGACACAGAGGTCCAGTGTGTGACTCCCACCTGAAGGCAGGTGGCTAGCTGCTTCAAAAGCAGAGTGAAAGAAAGACAAAAGGCTCCCCTAGCTTGTGGGGCAAAAATGATGTGTTTTTCACAGACCAGGTGTGGGCCTCCCACGGGAGCTAACCGACGTTGGCTTGTCTTAGGTTGTTTCCAAGAAGACCACCTAAAGGGCAAACAGAGAGAAGCTGAATGGATGGCTGGATTGTCAGGGCCTGAGGAGGAAGAGCCATCTGGAATAGAGAAGCTCTGTCAAGGGGATGCAGGTGAGTGACCACCAGCCACAGGGCAGGGGCACTCCATGGAGAAAGCAGCTGCCCTGTGGGCAATCTGAAATGCCCGCCAAGCCAAGAGGGCCCCGGAGCAGAGTGGCACAGCAGTGGCTCTCAGAGGGAGCTCCTGCCTCTCTCCCTCTCTCTGGATTCTAACCACAAAGCACAGCTATTGGGATGGGAGAAGAGGAGAAAAAGTCGATGAGTTAAAAAAAGAAGAAAATGACCGCAGCCCTTCCTGCATGCAGCATGCTCAATCTGCAGGAGGGGAGAAATGCTGATTTTAAATCAAATTCGTAGGACTCAACATTTTAATCACCAGATTGAGATTATTTTTATTACCCCAAAGTAACCAGAAAACTCATGCAACTGCCTGATTTTTCAGCTAGTGGCAGGGGAAAATGAGTCCCATGGTCTGGATTAAAGGGACAGTGAGAGACAAAAACAGTTACTTTATAATTGTATAGTTATATGTTCTTGGTCAACATGAAGAGTTAACACGGATCAGTCTCACCATTAAGAGCTACGGGTATCATTCAGAACTTTTTATGTGGCTGGCTTAGGTAAATGAAGGAAATTTACTGGCTCATGTAACTGGGAAGTCCAAAGATAAAGCTGGTTTCAGGACCTCAAATGGAGCCGTCACCTCTCTCTTGCTCATCTAGTTCTGTTAACACATTGAGCTCATTTTCTTCCAATGCAAATTGGCTTTATTTGTGCAGAAGTTGCAGCCACAGGCAGGCAGCTATAGACTCGCATAATCCCAGCTTAGTTCCAGAAGAAAGAGAGAGCTTCTTGCTTTCAGCATCTATAAGCAAAATCCCAGAGGAGTACCTGATTGGCTTGTCTTGAGCCATGTGCCCACCTGATCGATGTCCAGCAGGGGCAGGGTGCTTGATCTTGCAATGTTGCATGGAAGAGGTGTCTTACTCCAAAGGAAGTGGGCTGGGACTACTTGAAGAATGGGACAGGCGTGCTGGGCGGACCAAAACAACAAACACCAGTTTTCCACATTGTGTAGCACAGGAAAATGCAGCTCAAAGATATCAGCTGCATACTCTTCCTATGCAGTAGAAAATAATGATTATTATAACAATTAACATCTTACCACTGGGGATCCTTGCTTATGCTCTTCCCTCAGTCAGAGATGTACTCTATCAAAATTCTGCTCATTTTTCAAGCTCAGCTCAAATATTATCTCCTCCATGAAGCCTCTCATGATTTCCAGATATGAAAATGAATTGATCCTTTTACTGCAGTCTTATTGTATTTGTAGAGTTCTCAGCCTTGGTTCTGCAGCAGAATCAGTGAGCAGCTGGTTGAAATGCCACCTCTCTATCAAATCTTCCCTGACCTCAAAAGCACAAATACTCTTCTCTCTACTCGTATAATAACTAAAGCCTTCTAAAACCATCACTTTCTTGTCGACTACTTCTGCACATGCACCCAGATTATTGCTTTTATGAAAGCACATGGCTTTGCATTTGGTACATCGGGAAATTCTGTTTTATTGAGTCAGGCAGCAATTCCTTTTACACTTTGTGCTAGTTTTAAAATAAGTTCACAAATTTTTGAAACTCCTCTCTTCAAGAGGTGGAGTCTAATTCCCCTCCCTTTGAGTGTGGGTGGGAACAAGCTACTTGCTTCTAGTTAATTGAGAAAAAAGGTTCTGTGATAGCGTGCAAGTAATAAATGGTGCTGCAACTTCTCTTGCTCTCTCCTGAATTGTTTGCTCTAGGTAAAGTGACTCACAACTACCAGATTGTGGGAACACTGAAACAGCCTATGGAGAGCCCTCATGGGAAGGAACTGAGGTCTTCTGCCAACAGTCATGTGAGTGGTCATCTCCAAAGCAGATTGTCCAGCCCCAGCAAAGCCTCCAGATGATGGCAACCCTGCAGCTAGCCTGACTGCAACTGCAGGAGACTCCCTTAGCCAGAACCTCCCAGCGAAACTGCTCCTTAATTCTTGACCCATAGATACTGAAATAACAAATGTTTGTTGTTTTAAGACACTAAATTTTGGGATAATTTGTTACACAGCAATAGATAACAAATGCATACTTCTACACATAGATGTGGCAAGCATTCTTAACACTGGGTGTCTTGGCGTGGGTTCCTCAGGAAACAGAGCCTGAGGAAAAGGCTAACGTGCTAATACTAAACTATGGAGTTTATTGCAGGGAAGCAGGAGCAAGAGCAAACCTTAGAGTGCATTACTAAGCAGGGCCCTGCTTGGGATCACTTGCCACTGATTGTTTCATCTTGCAGGACCGATTCTGAAAGGCTGTGAGTTCACTTGCATCTCAGGTCAGTTTGTACAGAGGGTAGAAGTGAAGAGGATTTATCTATCTGCTTTTAACTCCCTGTAGTCAAGCTTTCTTCACAGGACATTAACACTCTATATTTCCTGGGTCTTTACATGGTCTCCAAGCAGGTCCCTGGTGTCACATGCCTTGGGATGAACAAGGAAACACCACTTTCCTAGGCATGGGGCAGGGCACTGCCAGGTTGTCACACCTGAGATCAGTTGCAGCTCACACAAAATTGGTCACCAATTAGCAGCTCGAGCAGAACAAATGGGCAAAGGTCCTAGACAGATGGGGCTAAGAGGCTCTGGTGGTACAGAAGAGGTACCTGATAGACAGGGTGTGGGTGGCACAGCGTGTTATCTGTAAGTTTCCTCAAAACTCAGATTTGGAAAGGGGTAAGATCATCAGTAAAAATGGCCCAAAATACTGTCTGGGATCAGCCAAACTCCAATCAAAGGGACCTGGACATAACCTCAGAGACTGCAACCAGGAAACTCAGATGCCTAAGTAATTGAATTAAATCTTTAAGTCCAAAGATGCAGGTGTTGCTAGAAATAGAGAGTCCCAGCAGCATTAAGAGATGGAAGTTCAGCAAGAGAAGAGCGGGCAGCAGCTCCCACCATGTCCAGGGCAGAGGGTACCCCAACTTGTGTACCTGAATATACGACCAGTAAGGCAGGTAAACCCCAAAACGAAGATAAAGATAAGTTGGTGACAGCAGCCATTAAGGGCTCATATAGATGAGTCCCTTTGTTCTAGTCTTGAGCTTACCAAGTAACTGCCTCTGTATCATTCATCTTCCCAAGTAAACATCCCAAAAGGGAGAGAGTGTTCCGATACATAATCAAGAGGATCAGATTCTCTTGTCGGTTCCGGTTGGTATGAACCATTCAGCCCACTCAAGGTATAGGTATGATCACCGTTCTTATTTATCCAATTAACTGCTCATGTTCTCCCCTGCAGGGATGTACCAGGACGACCAGCCAGCCTTCTGCAATGAGACCCAGTGGCCCTTTTCCCAAACCATGGCACAGGATTTAAAACAACCACACACAAACAAGAAGTTTAGTCTACACAGTAGAGGTGGACACGCACACACTGTAGGCAGCATATAGACACTGGGGTCCGGCTGGGCTGGGTCAGCAATACTCACGGCACTTGAGGAGGAAGGGCACCTTCCTGGGCTTCCACCTAGAGGGACACTGGCACCCAGCTCTCCAGCCTGCCAGGAACTCGGCCAACCATTCCAGGGTGGGTCCTTTTCAAGAACAACACTTGGCCCCTCCTCCTCCTTTAAGTACTCTGTCCACTTGTTTCACTGAGGTCAGCTAGCATAGAGCCCACCCTACATCTCAGAGGAGGCAAATCTACACGTGCTCCCCTGGAATGCCCCCTCTTTCTCTCTTCTCCACCTAGAGCACCTCTCCTCCAGGGACCAAGGAGAAAAGCTCCCTCTGCTGTTTGATGTTGACACCAGCCTCCCACAGACAACGCTTCTATCCAGAGGTGGGCTTAGTACTTTCCCTGGCACAGACTAAAGTGTATAGCCATTCAGGGCTATGTTGCACTTCATTTATTCCCTCATTCATTCATCCATCAAATGCTGGGGGGTTCCTACTTAGAAGCAGAGCAGTCATGGTAGAAATAAGACTACAGATTCAGAAATTGCTGAAACATGGTTTTTTTCATATATTTCAACTGCATGCCTAAAGAAATGAGAGACATATCAGCCTGAAGCTGGGTGACTGCTTCACCTCAGTTCAGTTCTGAATGTACCAGTTTTCTGGATTCTATATCAAATCCACTCACTGTCTCCTTCCCAGAAATTGTTTTCAGATCCACAGGGTTGAGGCCCTTATATTCACAAATAAACAAACTTAGACATTGCATTTGAAAAGTGACTCAAGGGCATATTTTGAAAACCAGGGAAATAACAGCAAATAAAGATAAAACATATATCTGAAAAGAGATTAGATACACATTTAGAAAGAAAAGGAGTCATAGCATTCCTTCAGAAGAAGGATGAGAGTAGGGCACTACTACAGATATCTGTATTCGTTGAGTTTTTAACTTTTAGAACACATGACATTGAGTTCCTGCAGATTCTGCAGTGTCAGGTTCCTCATCCCAGCAGGGCAGCTGCCCTGGGAGAGGGAGGAGCCCTGGACTTGGGGTCAGGCCCCAGATGACTGCAGAAATGATGCTGGGCCAACAGGGGAAACCCTACCACTGAGGGGCTCACAGCCCAGAGGGGAAATGCTGCTAAACAGAAGCACAAAAATCTCCCAGAAGATTCAACCCTGGCTGTGCATCAGAATCACTGGAGGCGTTTTTGTGGGGTTTTTTTGTTTTTTGTTTTTTTAACATTCATGCCTAAGCCCCACCCCTGTCTCCTGAATCTGAATCTCAAGGTCAGACATCACCTCCACTGTCCAGCTTTTCTGATGCCTCCAGACAACACAGTTCCTTCACCTATGACCCTGTACTCCTGGGTTTTTGTCACCTTCCTCCTCGCTTATGTGTTCGCCTGCCCTCCAGCTCCCACTAGACTCTGAGCAAGGTGAGCCAGAGAAATAACTGTCATTTGATTACAAAGCCTTTTTCCCCAGAAAGTGGTTGGATATTCAAAATTAAAGTTAAGAGTTCTTATATTAATGCTTGGAATCATATGTAACATTTCCTTTTTAATTGTGATCTGGGCATCCCACTTATCACTTTTGGAATTTAGAAGTAAATTTCCTAAGGTGGCTATTACAGGCCCTGAGATATACTCACCAGTCTAGGTAGTGACCATGGCCTAAATCTTGTTCAGCCACAGGACTGCAGGGTGAGCCCTGAGCAGGGAATGGCTGTCAGGCAACTCCGCACGGAAAGCTGTTCTCACTTTCTCTCCCAGCCAGTGACTCACCTGCAGCTGCTGCATGACAGGGGCCCCAGGCAGTAGACGGGACACTGTGAACATCGCCCAATTGCCAATTTTCATAATTTGGAAGACCTAGAAATGGGAAAACAGACTACAATAAGCCCTAAAACCACATCACATCTCTCCACGCCACAGAGTTTATTTTCTATTGCTAATGTCATCAGCTGTGTCATCTAGTAGTGACATATACTATTTTTCCTCAAAGCCCCTCTGGTGGCAAATGTCCCATGGGGTCACCTTCTCAGTCAGCTGAGTCAGAATCACAGAATTCTAGAAATGCAAAGCAGGCAGAGCTCTTCCTAATAAGAGCAGAACTGTTCACATATCTTGAAAACCTACTATGGGCCAGCCCTTCATAGATCTTTTTTTACTTAAACCTCACACTAACTCTGACATGTAAGTTTCACTGGTCTCATATTTTAGATGAAAAAGCTGAGATTTGGAAAAGTGATGTGATCCTCTCAAGGTTACATATCTAGTAACCCAGATCTGTATAATCTAAAAGCCCCGGTTTCTGAAAGTGGGGATTATATACAAGGCAGCATGCCAGAGTCACATGAAGTCTCATGGTTAAACAGCACATCCTCTAAAATGTTGATTTTATTCAATGGTAAATAATTTAAAACACCATCGTTATTGTTTTTTTAATTAAATTACACATGAATGCATTGTGGGGGAATACAAACTTGCACAAAATTTAAAGATAAAATGAAAAATGTTGAGGAACTCATCATACTAATGGAAGCTACTTCTTCTGGCTTTGCTCCCAGACCCCCAGGGTTCCCTCCAGAGTCCTCTGCCATGAGGAAAATCCTGGCAGAAAGATTTAAAGGCATGGCCATAGGTCCTCAGTTTCAGCCCAAACAGGACTCAGGAGTGGCACCCCCAAGTGGAGGAGGGGAGAAGGAGTGGTCATGGAAGAGCCAAGCGTGGTGATTGCATGTTGCTGCGAGGCTTTGTTTCAATGCTCATCACTGGAGGAATATAAATTATGTAAGTCCCTGGGCTGCCAAGCCCCTTCCCACCTAACTGACAAGGTTTCCAAAGTTTTCCAGTGTGGAGAGGAGAATCTATCACCAAGTAAATGAGCCAGAGGCAGGTCCAGCCCCCCTTAATCCTGGCCCTATGCCACTCCTTATCACTAGTCCTCCCACTGCCAGACCTTACTTCCCCTAAGTCCTTGCTATCTTTTTCATTAAAATACCCTGAATCATCTCTGAGGTGGCTGCAATCAGCAGGGACTCAATCCTGAGCTAGTTAGGTTCGTCTATACTCTGCCCGAGGCTTGGAGTGCCTCCAGAGAAGTCAGTCACTGAATTCCAAAGGGGATGAGGGGAAGGACTCCAGTCAGGCACTTGGTCAAGCTGAGCTGGGCATGTCATAGCCTCACATCCTGATATCTTTGAAGTTAATAGGGATAGCCAAGAAAACTACCAAATAAAGCAAAGAAGGGCACAGCCTTGTGGGACTATGGAAAGGAGACCCTGATCAAGAGGCAACAGAAGCAAAGCCATTAAAGTGGCCCCACACCTACAAGCACGCTGCTGCCAGTCCACGCCATGCCCAGTTCCCCCAAACACACCTGCTCCCTGGCGCCGCTGACTCACTGACACTTGCCATTCCCTTTCACTGGGAGGCCCTCTGCCCTGCTCATTGCATGGCTAATTCCTACTCACTGCTTGTGACTGGCCTCAGCTTTAATGCCACTTCTTCCAAGAAGATTTCCCTGATTCTCTGCGATCTGGGAACCTCCTGTATACTTCCTAGGAACACCCTACATTTCCCCCATCCAGGTGCTTACCAGATGCATGATAATTGCCTATATATTTGTGAGTGTCACCAGAGCATGAATCCTCCGAGACAATGCCTGGGACATAGTAGGTACTCTGATTGTCTTCTGAATGAATGAAAATTAAAGACATGCCTTAAGTCCCTGAGAAGGCCCATTACACCACAGGGATACACTTTCCTGGCAATTCATCTAGCCTCAAAAGCCCATAGCAATAAAAGGCTGCTTTTGAGAGAGCTGAGAAGGAGGGAGGAGCACATGCAAACAACTAAACACCTACCACCTGCATGAGGACACAGGGATGAAACAGAAAAGGTCTTCTCACTGCAGAAACTCAGTCTGATGAGGGAGACTATTAGGCTTACAATAGCAAGGACAGATTGCTTCGGTACAAAGCTGGAATGGGGACAAATGTGAAAACCAAACTGAGTGATGCCTTTGCTTACGTACTAATCTTATTGCTCAGAACGACTCACGAGACAAAGATACTCACGAGACAAAGATTTCAGGAGAAAATGTTCATGAGAACTTTGGTAGCTATATTTGTAAGGTAATTGACAGTCAACAAAATTCTTTCATATATATCATTTTATTTCATCTTATTCATGTATCAAATATTTGAGGGTGCTTATCTGTACTACACTTAACATCTAGTGTTAGGAAGGCTGGGAGAATTAAAAAGTGACTGTCTTCAAGGAGCTTGGAGTCAAGTTGGGAGACACAGGCAACCTCAATTCAAGGCAGAGAGATGAAAGTCAGGTAAGTCACGGTTGTTTGAGTTGTAAAAGAGTCACTCTGGCTTAACTAAAAAAGGAAATGTTTTTCTCACATAATTTAAATGTTACCAGAAAGGGGTCTCTGGTTCAAATGCCTCTGATAAAAATGCCCAGGAATATCTTTAAAGCCCAGGTTTAGCTTTATCCAGCAGCCTGAATAATGTCCACCAGCCACTTCTCTAATCTCTTGGCTTTGCCTTGGCTGGGCCGACATCACTCTCAGGCTCCACATGGCAGCCACTCACAGCTTCAGGCCCATAGTTTCCAAGGCCCGAATTGACCTGAAAATAGAGCTTCTCTTCTCTGACAGGTTCTAACGAAAGACCAGGGCCTTATTATCCCTGGCCTGGGTGATGATCATGAGCCTACCAATGAGCCATGGGAATGGAATTAGAGTATTGTAACCCTAGGCCATGTCCCCAAACCTTGCCCAGCTCCAAAGCTGGTGTGGGGTCAGGCCCTCCCAAACTGCATGGGCTGTGTAGCAAAGTGTCATTAAAAACAGTCTGGTAATTGGCCATGTACAGTGGTTCATGCCCGTAATCCCAGTGCTTTGGGAGACCGAGGCAGGAGGATCTCTTGAGCCCAGGAGTTTAAGACTAGACTGGGCAACATAGCAAGACCCTGTCTCTATACAATACATTTTTTTACTTAGATATGGTAGCATGCATCTATAGTCCCAGCTATTCAGGAGGTGGAGATGAGAGGATCACTTGAGCCCAGTAGTTTGAGGTTACAATGAGCTATAATCATGCCACTGCACTCCAGTCTGGGAGACAGAGCTATTAGGCTGGTGCAAAAGTAATTGCGGTTTTTGCAACTACTTTTAATTGCCAGAACTGCAATTACTTTTGCACCAGCCAAATAGAACTTGTCTCAAAAAAAAAAAAAAACCACCAAAAGAAAAAAAAACCCAATAAAATGCTTGACAATTAGTCCTCAGGCTAGCTTTGTGTTTCCATTCATTTTACAAGTGAGGAAAATGATACCAATAAGAGCAAACGCAGGACTAAAGCCTGGTCTTCTGACTCAGTCCTATGCTCCTCCCATCAGTGCTTGCCTGATAATAATTATTAGCACTTAATTATAATAGCAATTAATTATTAATAATAGGGGAAGTGCTTAGGGCACTGCTGGAATTCGGAGTGGGACACTTCTTCCTTGTGTGGGACTGTCCCTAGCATTACAAATGTTTCATTACATTCATGGCTCTAATACCAGTGACACTTGCTTCCCAGCATTGTAACAACTAAAATGCTTGCACACACTTTCAAAGGTCCCCTTAGGAAGACAGCACCTCCCCTATTTGAGAAAAACTGTATGTTATCACAAGTGAACCCTGTTAGCAAGAGGTTCATACTTCTTGGAGTTTAAACATAAGCTCTAACCTCTCGCTTTAGAGATAGTCTGAGCTTTTGATTGAATATGCCTTGGAGATCATCAGGCCCAAATCCCTGGGCCGGTAGTTCTGGCTTGGAGGAGAAGGGGTAAGCGAGGGTGAGAGGGAAGAAGATGGGCTGGGAATGCATCCCTGAAAGGTGAGTATGAAGGGTTGCAGGTGGGAGGTTTCAGCTTCCCATTAGTGCTCCTCTTACTCAAAAGTGAAATCACAGAATTAATGCATTTTTTATAGTCAGGATTCAAGCTATTTCTTAGGGGAGAGGGTGTTTGTCCTCCCTTACTTGAGTAAGATAAGAAATTACAGAATTGTGGGGAAGTAGAATGCTCAATTCTGCACAATACTCACGAAGAGAGATGTTGCCAAACTGACCTGCACTCCGGTGGAGCAAACAGGGTATGTGGGAATTTAAAACCAGGTCGTCACATGAAGCACATTCCATAGAACAGGCAAACCTATGCCTGGCAAAATACTCAAAGCGAGACAAGAAATTTGCCTTCTAAGATACTGAAGACATCACCTAGGAGTAGACTTGGAATTACTCTACATATCCCAAAGGGACAAAACCAGTTCTAATAGGACCTGAAAACAGCTGGCCCATGAGAGATATCTAATAATAGAATGAGCCATCTGGGAAGACAGTGAGTTGCCCACTGCTGGAGGCATCCAAGCACACATTGAGATGTTGAAGTGGGTTTAAACTTAGTCTCTCAAACATTCTGAAGCAACACAAGATGGATGCAGTTTAAGTGCTCCACACATTGCTAACAGACCGTGTCAGAGGCGTGTGAACCAGAGCAACAGCATCTTGAAGAGGAGCCGGGTAAAATGAGGCTGAAACCTACTGGGCTGCATTCCTAGATGATGAAGGCATTGTAAGCCACAGGATGAGATAGGAGGTCAGCACAAGATACAGGTCATAAAGACCTTGCTGATAAAACAGTTTGCAGTAAAGGAGCCAGCCAAAATCCACCCAAACCAAGATGGCGACAAGAAGGCGACGAGAGTGACCTCTGGTTGTTTTCACTGCCACACTCTCACCAGTGCCATGACAGTTTACAGATGCCATGGCAACATCAGGAAGTTACCCTCTATGGTCTAAAATGGGGAGGCATGGGAGGAGCCAAGATGGCCGAATAGGAAGAGCTCCGGTCTACAGCTCCCAGCGTGAGCGACGCAGAAGACAGATGATTTCTGCATTTCCATCTGAGGTACCGGGTTCATCTTACTAGGGAGTGCCAGACAGTGGGCGCAGGTCAGTGGGTGCGTGCACGGTTCGTGAGCCGAAGCAGGGCGAGGCATTGCCTCACTTGGGAAGCGCAAGGGGTCAGGGAGCTCCCTTTCCGAGTCAAAGAAAGGGGTGACGGCCGCACCTGGAAAATTGGGTCACTCCCACCCGAATATTGTGCTTTTCGGACCGGCTTAAAAAACGGTGCACCAAGAGATTATATCCCGCACCTGGCTCGGAGGGTCCTACGCCCAAGGAGTCTCGCTGACTGCTAGCACAGCAGTCTGAGATCAAACTGCAAGGCGGCAGCGAGGCTGGGGGAGGGGCGCCCGCCATTGCCCAGGCTCGCTTAGGTAAACAAAGCAGCCGGGAAGCTCGAACTGGGTGGAGCCCACCACAGCTCAAGGAGGCCTGCCTGCCTCTGTAGGCTCCACCTCTGGGGGCAGGGCACAGACAAACAAAAAGACAGCAGTAACCTCTGCAGACTTAAACGTCCCTGTCTGACAGCTTTGAAGAGAGCAGTAGTTCTCCCAGCATGCAGCTGGAGATCTGAGAACGGGCAGACTGCCTCCTCAAGTGGGTCCCTGATCCCTCACCCCTGAGCAGCCTAACTGGGAGGCACCCCCCAGCAGGGGCACACTGACACCTCACATGGCAGGGTATTCCAACAGACCTGCAGCTGAGGGTCCTGTCTGTTAGAAGGAAAACTAACAAACAGAAAGGACATCCACACCAAAAACCCATCTGTACATCACCATCATCAAAGACCAAAAGTAGATAAAACCACAAAGATGGGGAAAAAACAGAATAGAAAAACTGGAAACTCTAAAACGCAGAGCGCCTCTCCTCCTCCAAAGGAACACAGTTCCTCACCAGCAATGGAACAAAGCTGGATGGAGAATGACTTTGACAAGCTGAGAGAAGGCGGCTTCAGACGATCAAATTACTCTGAGCTACGGGAGGACATTCAAACCAAAGGCAAAGAAGTTGAAAACTTTGAAAAAAAATTTAGAAGAATGTATAACTAGAATAACCAATACAGAGAAGTGCTTAAAGGAGCTGATGGAGCTGAAAACCAAGGCTCGAGAACTACGTGAAGAATGCAGAAGCCTCAGGAGCCGATGCGATCAACTGGAAGAAAGGGTATCAGCGATGGAAGATGAAATGAATGAAATGAAGCGAGAAGGGAAGTTTAGAGAAAAAAGAATAAAAAGAAATGAGCAAAGCCTCCAAGAAATATGGGACTATGTGAAAAGACCAAATCTATGTCTGATTAGTGTACCTGAAAGTGATGGAGAGAATGGAACCAAGTTGGAAAACACTCTGCAGGATATTATCCAGGAGAACTTCCCCAATCTACCAAGGCAGGCCAATGTTGAGATTCAGGAAATACAGAGAACGCCACAAAGATACTCCTCGAGAAGAGCAACTCCAAGACACATAATTGTCAGATTCACCAAAGTTGAAATGAAGGAAAAAATGTTAAGGGCAGCCAGAGAGAAAGGTCGGGTTACCCTCAAAGGGAAGCCCATCAGACTAACTGCGGATCTCTCGGCAGAAATCCTACAAGCCAGAAGAGAGTGGGGGCCGATATTCAACATTCTTAAAGACAAGAATTTTCAACCCAGAATTTCATATCCAGCCAAACTAAGCTTCATAAGCGAAGGAGAAATAAAATCCTTTACAGACAAGCAAATGCTGAGAGATTTTGTCACCACCAGGCCTGCCCTAAAAGAGCTCCTGAAGGAAGTGCTAAACATGGAAAGGAACAACTGGTACCAGCCACTGCAAAATCATGCCAAAATGTAAAGACCATCGAGACTAGGAAGAAACTGCATCAACTAACGAGCAAAATCACCAGCTAACATCATCATGACAGGATCAAATTCACACATAACAATATTAACTTTAAATGTAAATGGACTAAATGCTCCAATTAAAAGACACAGAGTGGCAAATTGGATAAAGAGTCAAGACCCATCAGTGTGCTGTATTCAGGAACCCCATCTCACGTGCAGAGACACACATAGGCTCAAAATAAAAGGATGGAGGAAGATCTACCAAGCAAATGGAAAACAAAAAAAGGCAGGGGTTGCAATCCTAGTCTCTGACAAAACAGACTTTAAACCAACAAAGATCAAAAGAGACAAAGAAGGCCATTACATAATGGTTAAGGGATCAATTCAACAAGAAGAGCTAACTATCCTAAATATATATGCACCCAATACAGGAGCACCCAGATTCATAAAGCAAGTCCTGAGTGACCTACAAAGGGACTTAGACTCCCACACATTAATAATGGGAGACTTTAACACCCCACTGTCAACATTAGGCAGATCAACGAGACAGAAAGTCAACAAGGATACCCAGGAATTGAACTCAGCTCTAAACCAAGCAGACCTAATAGACATCTACAGAACTCTCCACCCCAAATCAACAGAATATACATTCTTTTCAGCACCACACCACACCTATTCCAAAATTGACCACATACTTGGAAGTAAAGCTCTCCTCAGCAAATGTAAAAGAACAGAGATTATAACAAACTATCTCTCAGACCACAGTGCAATCAAACTAGAACTCAGGATTAAGAATCTCACTCAAAACCGCTCAACTACATGGAAACTGAACAAACTGGATACATAACGAAGTGAAGGCAGAAATAAAGATGTTCTTTGAAACCAATGAGAACAAAGACACAACACACCAGAATCTCTGGGACGCATTCAAAGCAGTGTGTAGAGGGAAATTTATAGCACTAAATGCCCACAAGAGAAAGCAGGAAAGATCCAAAATTGACACCTAACATCACAATTAAAAGAACTAGAAAAGCAAGAGCAAACACATTCAAAAGCTAGCAGAAGGCAAGAAATAACTAAAATCAGAGCAGAACTGAAGGAAATAGAGACACAAAAAACCCTTCAAAAAATTAATGAATCCAGGAGCTGGGTTTTTGAAAGGATCAACAAAATTGATAGACCGCTAGCAAGACTAATAAAGAAAAAAAGAGAGAAGAATCAAATAGACACAATAAAAAATGATAAAGGGGATATCACCACCGATCCCACAGAAATACAAACTACCATCAGAGAATACTACAAACACCTCTACGCAAATAAACTAGAAAATCTAGAAGAAATGGATAAATTCCTCGACACATACACTCTCCCAAGACTAAACCAGGAAGAAGTTGAATCTCTGAATAGACCAATAACAGGCTCTGAAATTGTGACAATAATCAATAGTTTACCAACCAAAAAGAGTCCAGGACCAGATGGATTCACAGCCGAATTCTACCAGAGGTACAAGGAGGAGCTGGTACCATTCCTTCTGAAACTATTCCAATCAACAGAAAAAGAGGGAATCCTCCCTAACTGATTTTATGAGGCCAGCATCATTCTGATACCAAAGCCGGGCAGAGACACAACAAAAAAAGAGAATTTTAGACCAATATCCTTGATGAACATTGATGCAAAAATCCTCAATAAAATACTGGCAAAACGAATCCAGCAGCACATCAAAAAGCTTATCCACCATGATCAAGTGGGCTTCATCCCTGGGATGCAAGGCTGGTTCAATATACGGAAATCAATAAATGTAATCCAGCATATAAACAGAGCCAAAGACAAAAACCACATGATTATCTCAATAGATGCAGAAAAAGCCTTTGACAAAATTCAACAACCCTTCATGCTAAAAACTCTCAATAAATTAGGTATTCATGGGACGTATTTCAAAATAATAAGAGCTATATATGACAAACCCACAGCCAATATCATACTGAATGGGCAAAAACTGGAAGCATTTCTTTTGAAAACTGGCACAAGACAGGGATGCCCTCTCTCACCACTCCTATTCAATATAGTGCTGGAGTTTCTGGCCAGGGCAATCAGGCAGGAGAAGGAAATAAAGGGTATTCAATTAGGAAAAGAGGAAGTCAAATTGTCCCTGTTTGCAGACGACATGATTGTATATCTAGAAAGCCCCATTGTCTCAGCCCAAAATCTCCTTAAGCTGATAAGCAACTTCAGCAAAGTCTCAGGATACAAAATCAATGTACAAAAATCACAAACATTCTTATACACCAACAACGGACAAACAGAGAGCAAAATCATGAGTGAACTCCCATTCACAATTGCTTCAAAGAGAGTAAAATACCTAGGAATCCAACTTACAAGGGATGTGAAGGACCTCTTCAAGGAGAACTACAAACCACTGCTCAAGGAAATAAAAGAGGATACAAACAAATGGAAGAACATTCCATGCTCATGGGTAGGAAGAATCAATATCGTGAAAATGGCCATACTGCCCAAGATAATTTACAGATTCAGTGCTATCCCCATAAAGCTACCAATGACTTTCTTCACAGAATTGGAAAAAACTACTTTAAAGTTCATATGGGACCAAAAAAGAGCCCGCATCGCCATGGCAATCCTAAGCCAAAAGAACAAAGCTGGAGGCATCACACTACCTGACTTCAAACTATACTACAAGGCTACAGTAACCAAAACAGCATGGTACTGGTACCAAAACAGAGATATAGATCAATGCAACAGAACAGAGCCCTCAGAAATAACGCCGCATATCTACAACTATCTGATCTTTGACAAACCTGAGAAAAACAAGCAATGGGGAAAGGATTCCCTATTTAATAAATGTGCTGGGAAAACTGGCTAGCCATATGTAGAAAGCTGAAACTGGATGCCTTCCTTACACCTCATATAAAAATCAATTCAAGATGGATTAAAGACTTAAACGTTAGACCTAAAACCATAAAAACCCTAGAAGAAAACCTAGGCATTACCATTCAGGACATAGGCATGGGCAAGGACTTCATGTCCAAAACACCAAAAGCAATGGCAACAAAAGACAAAATTGACAAATGAGATCTAATTAAACTAAAGAGCTTCTGCACAGCAAAAGAAACTACCATCAGAGTGAACAGGCAACCTACAGAATGGGAGAAAATTTTCGCAACCTACTCATCTGACAAAGGGCTAATATCCAGAATCTATAATGAACTCAAACAAATTTACAAGAAAAAAACAAACAACCCCATCAAAAAGTGGGCGAAGGACATGAACAGACACTTCTCAAAAGAAGACTTTTATGCAGCCAAAAAACACATGAAAAAATGCTCATCATCACTGGCCATCAGAGAAATGCAAATCAAAACCACAATGAGATATCATCTCACACCAGTTAGAATGGCAATCATTAAAAAGTCAGGAAACAACAGGTGCTGGAGAGGATGTGGAGAAATAGGAACACTTTTACACTGTTGGTGGGACTGTAAACTAGTTCAACCATTGTGGAAGTCAGTGTGGCGATTCCTCAGGGATCTAGAACTAGAAATACCATTTGACCCAGCCATCCCATTACTGGGTATATACCCAAAGGGCTATAAGTCATGCTCCTATAAAGACACATGCACACGTATGTTTATTGCAGCACTATTCACAATAGCAAAGACTTGGAACCAAGCCAAATGTCCAACAACGATAGACTGGATTAAGAAAATGTGGCACATATACACCATGGAATACTATGCAGCCATAAAAAATGATGAGTTCATGTCCTTTGTAGGGACATGGATGAAATTGGAAATCATCATTCTCAGTAAACTATCGCAAGAACAAAAAACCAAACACCGCATATTCTCACTCATAGGTGGGAATTGAACAATGAGATCACATGGACACAGGAAGGGGAATATCACATTCCAGGGACTGTGGTGGGGTGGGGGGAGGGGGGAGGGATAGCACTGGGAGATATACCTAATGCTAGATGACAAGTTAGTGGGTGCAGCGCACCAGCATGGCACATGTATACATATGTAACTAACCTGCACAATGTGCACATGTACCCTAAAACAAAATATGATAAAAAAATAAAAAATAAAACAGTAAAATAAAATGGGGAGGCATGAATAATCCACCCCTTGTTTAGCATATCATCAAGAAATAACCATAAAAATGGATAACCAGCAGCCTTTGGGCTGCTCTGTCTATGGAGTAGCCATTCTTTTATTCCTTTACTTTCTCAATAAACTTGCTTTCACTTTATTCCATGGACTTGCACCAAGTTCTTGCACAAAATCCAAGAACTGTCTCTTGGGGTCTGGATCTGGACCCTTTCCTGTAACAACCACATACAGATAATAGTTTGTGAACTATGTTCAATTTCTATTAGAGTAACTGTAAGGCAAGACCTCTTTCTGCTGCACTCAAAAAACCTGCCGGAATATGCATGTGGGGGACATTATTGTAGGGTAATTTTGAATCTGCCCTAATTGACAAAGAAAAAATGGAAACCTCTAACAAACTTTCATACTCTATTGATAACGCAGTACTTTTAACAAAACAAGTAGTCACCTGGTTAAGAACTGCCAGCCTAAGAGGTTGTGACCACTAAAATTTGTCCAACCAGAAGTGGAGTCTACAAAACTCTACAGGCTAGCGTGCCTAGAGCATGCTCAGTAATCCACCCCCAAAATCTCAGCCACGTGGCATTTACCTTTGTGTTTCTGACTATCCCATGGGCAATCAGAGGTCCACAGACAACCAAAGGTTAAAATGAGATGGATGTTACATGTCACACACTGCCTGGGGGAGTGCTTGCAAGTTGCACAAAGCAACTGGAACTTCACTATGTCACTCCCTCATCTGAACTACTTGCTGAGACAGCTCTTTTTGTAAAGGGTCATTTCTGTCCGGCAGCTGAGCTCTGGGACAGAAATGATGTTTGGCAATACCAGCCTCTAGCAATGAAGCCAACTTTAAATCAGAAATGCTGTGAGAGTGTGGGATGCCAGATTGTGTTTTACAGAGGCTGGAAAGCTCCAATCTTGCCTGGCAAGGCTGTCAGAAGGATCTCTCCAACTCTTTGGTTTTCACAGCCTCTGGAGCTGAGCTAGCTGCTCACTACACATTTTCATGACCATCGAGTCCCTGTGAATGGAAGTGTTCTATTTCATACTGTGGGTTTTGGTGTGAATTCTAGATCGCAGCTTAGGTTAAACTACAAAACATGGGTGTTTCTGTGGGACACCAGAGGCACTGGAGATAATTTGGGTGAATACACAGAAATCTGTGGAAGAGTAGGATTTGGTCTTTGTCAAACGGTCTAGAGTGGCTGTGCCTTGTTCTTTATCTTATAAAGAAATCAATGCATACTTTACTGCCACCAACGCCCCTTCCTTCATATCACCAAAGTCATTCTTCTACTATTCAGAAAAAAGGGATATTGTTGCTGCTTAGTTGTAAGGGTTCATGGCAGCAAACATTCTTCAGAAGAGATCTATAACTTTCTGGATGCTGCTGCCCCCGTCTCGTTGCTATGGTTAGAGTACATGCTGCTTCTGTCTTCTAACCTTCTTACGCAGCACTGTGGCCATCACTCATTGGTACTATTCATGCTCCTGCAAATTAAAGCACAGGTGCTGCCCTCCTCTCAGGGTGCTTCCTATAAAACTGAGCAAAATGAGTATTCATCCTGATGCATTCAAAAAATATTTACTGAACACTGATATGTGCTTGTCTGGTATCTCAAGCTGATTTGCTTTATCTGAAAAGCGTCTAGTTTACAGATGGATTAGCTTTCCCTTGTATTATTTGCCAAATATTCTAAATAAATAATATAAAGGCAGAGATGCTGTAAAAATTATAAAAATGAAGGTGTCATATCTCAGGATTCTATAGTCAGCCCTTTATCCTTTCTCTTCTCACTCTACACTCCTCCTTGGAATGTAAAATACCCTTTAATGATTATAATTAGCCCCTAAAGTCTCTATCATCAGTCCATACATGACTGCTGAATTTCATACCTATATGTGCAACTACTAACCAGTCATCTTCAGAAGTCAGGCAAGAAATTAGATTCATGACATTCCCAAACCAGAATTCATCGTTTGGCAAAGCTCCCACCCCCCCTTCTCCACCCCTCTCCTCCACCGCTTTCCCTCCCAAATCACCTGCTTCCCTCCATGGGCTCCAGGTTTTAGCTGGTGGCACCGCCCATCAGAAACACTGCTGTCCCATTGGATTCCTTTTCCTTCACCCTCCACATTAAATCAGAGAACAAATCCCACTGATTGAACCTCTCAAAGAGTCCTCACAACTCTTTTTTCCCTTTCTTTCCTGCAGCCACCACTGAGGCCTCCGCGCCTCTCACTTGGACTATTTTTCTGATTGGTATCCTCGCCTGCAGTTTAACAGCCTCCAACCAGAAGTGGAGGTTCTGTCCGTGGGATCTAAAACACGACTCTGATCGTGTCACCACCACCCTACGAAAATGCTTCAAGTTTTCCTCATCATCTGGGAAATAAAATCCAGCATCCTTAGAGGGTTCAGATCCTCCCACTCCCCCTGCATTGAACCTGCACTTTAGGCTTACCCAACCCTAGTAATTAGTAGCATCCTATTTCTTGTTGCCATATCTTTGCCTTTGTTTCCACTGCCTGAAATCTTTCCCCACTTCATCCATCTCATAACTTCTTATAATTCAAATAATTCTTATTTGTGCTTTAAAACTCACTCACAGGCAGCCTCTTCCTGGAAGCCTTTTCTGACTTACCTGCTCCTTGTTGTTTCTGCATCTTATATGCCAATTTTCTATTGTTCTATTTTGTTTTGTTTTGCTTTGTTTTTATATGAGACAGGGTCCTGCTCTGTTGCCCAGGCTGGAGTGCAGTGGCACGAGCTCAGCCTCAACCTCCTGGGGCTCAAGCAATCCTCCCACCTTGGCCTCCCTAGTAGTTGGGACTACAGGCACATACCAGTACACCTGGCTAATTTTATTTTTTGTAAAGACGATGTCTCACCATGTGGCCCAGGGTGCTCAAACTCCTGGGAGCAATCCTCCGGGATTATAGGTGTGTGCCACCACACCCAGCCTTCTATTGTTCTTATCCCCCAATTGTCACTGGGGATCCCCTATTACACCATGAGCTTCCTGAGGGCAAGGATTATTTCTCTCTGCCTCCTCTGTTCTGGGTACTGTGCCTGGCACATGGTACAAGCAAATGAGTCTTTGTAGGTATAAATAGATAGATGCTCTCAACTAGACTCCAAAGTGTGTGTGTGTTGGGCGGGGGTGGTGGGCGGGAGAAAGAGAAAAAGAGAGGACAGAAGGGAGGGAGAGGGATTTAAAAAAAAAATCAACAGTTTTTCTAGTTCTTTAAAAATGGAGGCTTAGATTCACCTCTGAGGGAACATTGTTTCTTGTGTCTGGAAAACTTTAATGACCCCTTATGCAAACATGAGGCTATCATCTTCAATTGCAATGGAAAGTTTTTAGAGGCAATCAGGGCTCAACTGCTCTGCATGGAACGTAAGGGTAGTCTTTATTGATGATACAGAGGCATTCCCAGGATTACTATACTACTGGGAGACTGGCGGTAGACTGAGATGAGGAGAAATGGAGTGTTCCCCTGGGTGTTAGTGGAGTGGGGCTCTGGATCTGTGATAGGCAGGAACTCGTAAAAGCACTCCTATTGTAGGGAAGCAAATGAGCCCCTGCAAGGCCTCAGGCTGGTTGTGAGGGGATCCAGCACCAGGAGGTGTTCCCTGTGGAAGAGCATGACCAGAGGACCAGAGAAAAGACACACGTGGTGTCCAGTTTTACGGCACCCTGACTGTGTCATTCCTCCTGTTACCCCATTCTTCAGTAAAGCTTTTTTAAATGTACCAGCCCCATCTTGGTTGAGATTTGGGTAATTAATACAGCAACCAGTGTCCACTGTCACTGAATCAACACAAAGACTACCAATGTAGTCTCAAATTGAAGCTGAGTTTATTACGCACCAGGCAAAGGAGAATTAAGTTTCTTTCTTTTTCCTTTTTTTTTTTTTTTTTGCTGTTTAAATGATTTATTTTATTTTAAAAATCATTTATTTCTTTAAATTTTATTTTATTTTTTAAGTTCCGGGATATATGTGCAGGATGTGCAGGTTTGTTGCACAGGTAAATGTGTGCCATGGTGGTTTGCTGCACCTGTCAACCCATCACCTATGTATTAAGCCCTGCATACATTAGCTATTTATCCTAGACAATCAAGTTTCTTAAGAAAAGTCAGTGAGTGTTCCCCAAACTGAAAGTGAAAAGAGTAGATACAGTATGGAGAAGGGGAAGTTCTTCCCAAGTTTCTGAATGGTTCAAAATGGATCATAAAACCTCTTTTTACTTTTGTTACTTTTCTGGTTTTGAATCATCAAGATGCAGGTGTGGTTCTCAAACAGGTCCAGAATGGGCTGCATAAGGCTGTAGAGATCTCAGTGTCATGCAGTGGGCAAATGTGAATGGGGATGCCGGAGGCTTGGTAAAAATTGTTTTAACATTCTTGTTTGGATAAAACAGTGCCCAGGTCATTTATAACAGTCTGAGTTTTAACACAGATAAAAAGTTACTACAGTTAGAGGCCTGATGTCAGGCCAAGGTGACAAGCAACAACCTGGGTGAATTTTGAAATGTGTAAGGTTCCTGAGAAGTTCCCAGGGTACCCTGGAGAGGCTATCTTGGTAGAATACTAGTAGCTCAGATGTTGGATATTTGGCTATTAAAGGACTCCTGAGCCCAGAACATCTAGGGCTGTTGGGGTTATATGACTACCATCACCCCCAAAATGAAATCGCCTTTCAACTCAGTTGTTCTCTACAACTAGGAATACTGACTCTTACTTTTGTTTCAGTTAAACTCAGGGAAAGCATCACATCAGAGTTAGAGGTGGGAAATTAGATCTATTCTGCACCGACAATAGCACTCCGCATTACACACCAAAACACACAGATGATAGTTTTGTCTATTTAAGCAATATAAGGCTCCTACTAATTTTTTTTAGAAATTGTTATCAATTCCTTTTTATGAAAAATTACCACTGAGGTATTGTTCCTTTTTTTCCAGCACAGTTGAAATTGTACGTGGTAGGGAAGTTTTTAATTAGTCCATTCTGAGCAGGAACGGTGTGTGCTCACTGCAGTAGGAGCCTAATAAATTACTTCATAATCTCAATTGGAGGCTTTGTGTCTGAAAATACTCATTAGTTTGCACCAGCAGCCGTCAGCTTCCCATGAAAGGTCTTAGAACCATGCTGCAGTAGGTTTAGATCAAGTTGCTTGGAGCAGAACTTCTGGGGCGGTGAAAACAAACAGGCCATACAGATCTCAGCTGCAGGGTCTGGGGATAAAACAACTTGGAAACTCCATGTCAGCCCCTTCTGCCCATGCCACACTTTCCTGCTTACAAAGCTCTTCTTCCACCCCGAAAAAGCTTTTCCATCTTCAAATCATTCCAGTGACCCCCTTTTTTGAAGTGTGGATAAATCTAAAGCCTAGGAAATACATGTTGCAGACTAGTGAGAAAATGTTTATACTGTCCTATTTAGACAGACAGATAAATAGAGACAGAGTTGGATGGATAGATGGATGGATGGATGGATGGATGGATCAGGTGATGGATGGATGCAAACAAACAGACATTTAAAATGGGAGGGTAAAAATGTTATTAGCCCAGCTGGTAAAATAATTCCTCTCGGAGGGAACACGGTATGTGGATACGTTGGTAAGTCACCCAGATTAGGTAAGGGTAAGACCCCAAGATGCATGGTCTTATGATAAAAGATGGTCTCTAAACTGCTAAGGAGAGACAGTCTTGCTGATTTCAAAGTTCTGTAAGTGTCATGTCTTGGCGGTTTGGACGATTGCTGAGGTAGAGCTGTTCTGCAAAATAAAGGGATGAGAATTTGCAACTAGGAATGGAGGATGCAGGGAGAGAGGTATGAATCAATAAAGTGAGGTTTTGTACACAAGAAAAGAAAGATGGAAAATTTCATACCTTAGCAGAGTAGGCAAGCTGAGATGTCTAAGGTGACTTTGAAGTTATTTCCTGTAGGATGTACGTAAGTAAACTCCTCCTTCCACCTGCCCTAGAAAACTGTTTCCCAGAAGTGGATCCCAAGCCCATGTGCAGGGGGTTTATTAAGGTGTGCTCCCAAGGGAGATGAGTGAAGGAGTGGGGAAAACAAGACAGAGAAGGATAAAAAGTCAAACAAAAGTTCGATCACAGTCAAGACCTTCGGTCTGATCATATCAGGGAAGTCAAGAGTGTGAGTTACACCTTAGAGTTGTCCCAACCAGAGGTAAGAGAGCTGGGCTTTCATATAGTCACACTAGCATGGGCCAACGATGAGGAGGGGAGGGGAATAAATTCCTAAGCACTTCCCGCTCCCTTTTATAGAGGAAAGGGGGCTCCAATAGCCTGAGGGCAGCCCTCTGAAGACGAGTTGCAGATGCTGATTGTGAGAAGCCACACGGGCAGGGGCAGAGCACAAGACAGTAAAAGTAGAGCTGAGATCTGATACAGCACTGACACTGTCACTATGAAACCCTCTAATAGAGTGTACATTTGCTCATCAATGCTTCCGTATGAGTCAGTCCTTCACGGTAATCAAAGAGAAACTGACATATGCATCCAGGTCACATCTGCACGGAGTAAAAGCAGAGCCTGTGCTTCCACGTGCAGAGAATGGAGAACATCTGTCATCTGGGTCCATGTACTTTTGGAACAAACCTCACTCACAAGTACATTGAAATATACTATGTATACTAGCAAGGCTATACTGCTGATGCTGCACTGAAATGGAATTTCTGTTATCAAAACTCGATTTCTATATGGGAGGCACATGTATTCACATCTGTGTTCATTTCTGCTAATAAAACGCCCATGCTCCTCACTGCATCTAACACAGTCGAGCATTCCAGGTCCCCACAATCCAACTCCATTTCTTGAATCAGCTTTTTCTCGGCCAGACTCCTGCCATGTGCTGCTCCTCATCCACACGCTGTGTCCTGCACGGTAGCCACCAACTAAACAACATGCACCACACTCAGAGCTAATATGGGTTATGGGTGTCTCTTAATCCTAACAATAACTCCATGTCTTAGATGCTATTTTACTTAACAGTTGAGAAAACTGCAGTCTGATGAGGTAAAGTCCAAGTTCTCTAAGTAAGAAGTGGAGCTGGCATTTGGAGTTAATGCTTTCAGCTGCTGCACTGCTCTGCCTCCGTGGACACGGTCCCCTCCTTCCAAAACCCCTTCCCCATGTCAGAATGTCAATACCCTACCATCATCCAAGGCCTTGTTCAAATGCCATATTCTCCACAAAGCCTTTAAATCAGGCAGAGTTCTTAGAGGAAAGGGACAGAAATCTAACGTATGTAAAAGAAAATGTATTAGTTTCAGTGGTTGGAAAGAATACTGGGGTGGCCTACATGTTCCGAGGGATGGCTGCGGGAACCCTAGGGATTAATGCAACTAGAATTTTCTCTCTAACTCTTTCATTTTACATTATCTCCCCCAGCCCAACAGGCTCAGAAGTATAAGACACCCTCCCCCTTCTCTGTCATTGTTCATTTATCATCCCAGGAAAGACTCTGATGAGCCCTGTTTGGGTCATGTGCTTATCCCTGCCCTAACCACAGAGCCCAAGGGAATAGAGTATTATCATTAGCCAGGCCAAGGAGGCTGGATTGTTACACGAGAAAGCAGGTGGGAGGAAAACATTCCAGGCAGTTCACAGCACTTGCTCCCACAGTTCATTACATTGTCCATGAACACCCAGATAGAATCACTCTGTTCCAGTTTCTCTGCCATAAAGCAACTATTTATTGTGCTCATAGATTCTGTGGATCAGGAATGCGGGTGGGACACAGTGGGGATGGCTTGTCCCTGCTCCACAGTGTCTGGGGCCTGAGACAAAAGACTCTAGGCTGAGGCTGGATTCATCTGAAGACTCACTCTCCGTGCCTGGCAGTCGATGCTGGCTATCGGCTTGTAGCCTCCGTTCCTTTCCACATGCGCCTCTCCATGTGGTCTCGCTGTACAAGATGGTTGGGCTTTCTCACAGCAAGGTGGCTACGTTCTGAGGCTGAACATCTTAAGAGAGAGAGAATGCGTGCCGTGTGAGAACTGTATTGCCTCTTTTAATTTAGCCTTACCAGTTCTGCTGCATTTATTTGGCTGGAGCTTCCCAAGCCTGCCCAGGTTCAACGGCAGGGGAAATAGATTCCACTTCTTAATGAAGAATGGCAAAGTTCTACAGAAATTTTGCTGTAGACATTTTCAGAAAATACAGACTGCCACACATTTTTTCCTATGAATTCTTTCGTGTATGTTTTCCATATCTTCCCTAAATTACTATGAGTGCTGTGAGATAGTCATCTTTGTATTTCTATGCAGTGCCTTGTACAGGACCTTATACACAATCAAGCTTCAAAATATGTTGGTTGGCAAAATGCCTCTGACAGCAGCATCCCAATTTTTCTACCAACAATTTTTTTTCTTTTTTTTTTTTTGAGACAGTCTGTTGCCAGGCTGGAGTGCAGTGGCACAATCTCAGCTCACTGCAACCTCCACTTCCCAGGTTCAAGTGATAGGAGAATCACTTGATTCTCAGCCTCCCGAGTAGCTGGGACAACAGGCGCGCACCACCATGCCCACCAAATTTTTGTACTTTTAGTAGAGACTGGGTTTTGCCATGTTGGCCAGGATGGTCTCGATCTCTTGACCTCATGATCCGCCTGCCTCAGACTCCCAGAGTGCTGGGATTACAGGCGTGAGCCACTGTGCTGGCCTCTACCAACTATTAATAGCTGTGTGACTATGAGAAAAATTACATAACATTTCTGAGACTGTTTACAAACTGAGAGAGCTTAAGTTTGTGGTTTCTAAATATTCTGATTTAGCAGCAAACGACAAATCACTTTCTTCAAACCACACCTAATATAGAACCTCGGTATGCAAAACAGACTTTTTAAAAAGCAACAGCAAAGATGCTATGGTTGAAGCAGGTAGAAGAGGAGTAGAGAGTGACCCACTTCCCTCTCCCTCCCCCTGGCTACGTGGCTGACCCTGAGACAGCATCATAAAGATGGTAGTCATCTGCTATTTTTAATCTGTCCAGAATGTCTTTTGATAAGAGAAGAGAACCACTACACACAAACACACACACACACACACACACACACACACACTTATAAATTCATATCAAGAACATGGAAGCACATCAAAACCAAAGACAAACCTTGCATTGCAATTAATGTTGACCATGAGATCTGAAGTCTTTGGTAAAGGTGGTTATTCCAGCATCTCAGGGCCAAGAGGAGTCTTAGTGTTGAGTCACCCAGCTAGTCAAGCCAGATGCGTAGCCTCTGTGTGATGCTGCCTCTAATCATTTTCCCTGTACTTATTTCAAAGAGATTTCATAATAGAGGAAGATTACTGCCAAAGCAGATAATTTTGTCTTATTTTGTTTTGAGACAGGGTCTTGCTCTGTTGCCCAAGCTGGAGTACAGCGGCGTGATCACAGCTCACTGCAACCTCCACCTCCCAGGCTCGAGCGATCCTCCTACCTCAGCGTCCCAAGTAGCTGGGACTACAGGCACGCACCACCAAGCCTGGCTAATTTTTGTATTTTTTGTAGAGACAGGGTTTCCCCAGTTGCCCAGGCTAGCCTCGAACTCCTGGGCTCAAGCAATCTGCCTGCCTTGGCCTCCCAAATTGCTGGGATTGCAGGCGTGAGCCACCGCGCCCGGCTGAAGATGATTTTGAAAAGCACAGGAACGCTTGCTCTTTTTCTGCACTTTTCTTCAGTTACCTTTGTGCCTTTTTCATGTGCAAATGATATCAATGAAATATGTGTGTTTTAAATTGAGGCCCTACCACTTGCAGGAATTCCTTTCTCTTTTTCCTGCTGCTTCAACCTGCCTGCAGTCAGACTTCTATGTCACAGTCATATCCAGGAACACAAATAGTGCTTGTTGCCAGAGACCCAGGATGATAATTTTCCCACACAGAACAAGACAGTTTCCAGGGGGATTGCTCTTAGAAAAATATACCTCAAAGTGAACATGAGGAGGAGGAACTATGAGGCAAGAGGGGAGCCCAGAGGCTCAGTTTCCCAGGCCCTCTCGCCCTGGTGTAGAGGCCCCTCCTCACTCATGAAAGAGGACCAGGCAGGGTCCAGCACATAGTAGGCACTTAATAAGAGCCAAGTGAATGAATAAATGGCATGAAACATGCAAGTTTATTCCATTTTAGTGAATTCACATAGGAGTATAATAGTGGAAAATGGAAAATGGTATTTGATCACCTGTTGTCCCAGAGGGGATGCACTTAAGGATTCAGTAATAACTTTCCAAGTACTGTTTCCTAGATTCTGAGCTCATTAATCCTTAGAATCAATGAATGTCAGCATTGGAAGGACCTTACATTCAGAAAATCTCTTTCAAATACCTGCAGTTGGCCCTGAAGGTCTCCAAACTGAGCTTTCCTGAGTGTACTGTGTAATATTAAGAGATAGTATTTGGAGAGAGGACTCCATGGTGAAACACGTTTGGGAAGCCACATAGTAAACAGAGGTAATTAGGTATCTTTCCTGGACAATGTCTCAAAGTCTTTATTGGCTACTGTTCATTGTAAATCTCCAAGGGACAATACAGTGGACAGTGTTTATCAAACATTTTTTTAATGAGAAAATAACTTTATTTCATTTTGGGGAGTGGGCAGACATCCAGTCCCAGAACTTCTGGAATTGCTTCTTGGTGCTGGCAGTCTTGGTGACTTGAGCGTACTGCAGTACAGGGTCTTGCTCGGGGACTAGCACTCACCCACGATGATATGCCAACCTAGACTTCCCTGAAGCAGGAGGACAGGCTCACGGACACATTCTTATGGCACTTCTTGGAGCAACTGTACTTGTACATGTAGCAGAGATAATCCTAGTGGATGACAGTGGTCCTCTCCATCTTCATCTTGGACCCCTCACCAGACAGGATCTGCCTTCAGATGGAGACATTACCAGTGAAGGGACATTTCTTGTCCATATAGGTTCCCTCAATGGCTTCTTTGGGTGTCCTGAAGCCCAGACTGATGTTCTTATAGCACCAGTTTCTCCCAGCAAGTCCCTCTTTTTTTTTTTTTGAGGCGGAGTCTCACTCTGTCACCAGGCTGGAGCGCAGCGGCATAATCTTGGCTCACTGCAACCTCTGCCTCCCGGGTTCAAGCGATTCTCCTGCCTCAGCCTCCTGAGTAGCTGGGACTACAAGCGTGTGCCACCACATCCAGCTAAATTTTGTATTTTTAGTAGAGACAGGGACCCTCTTCTTTTTTGTTTGTTTATTTGTTTGGGTAGATACAAGGTCTCACTATGTTCCCAGGCTGGTCTCAAACTCCTGGGCTCAAGTAATCCTCCTGCCTTGGCCTCCCAAAGTGCTAGGATTACAGGCATGAGCCACCATCCCAGATCTGATTACATTTCAATTCTTCCTGTGAATACATTGGGGGTAATCTATTCTCTTCCCCTTCTTTATCAAGCCCTTACCATTCTAATAATACAGTCCTAAGACTCTGTTATAATATGCCAAGTCTCTCTAAGACATTTAATAAAATACAAATTAAAAATACCAGCAGGATTGTTTTAACTAGTCAAGATGATTCTAATGTTTAGATGGAAGAAGCAACAAACAGAAATAGTGACGAAATAAAGAAGGGGGGAGCTGTCACCACCAGACGTCAAAACATATTATAAAAATATAAGAACTAAAACTGCATAGTACTGTCACATGGCCAAATCAACAGCTCAGTGGGATAGAATATGGATCCAATGTCCAGAAATGGATCCAATATATACAGGCACCTGGAGTCAGGGGGGAAAATATGAGTCATGTAAATGCATAGAACTGGGATATGAGTTAGCCACTGAGACAAAAATAAAGTTAGATCCATACTTAACAGCATCCATTTTTAGGCTTGACATATTATTTGAAACTACTCATACCCAATTACCTTTGGCCTGGTTAAAACTTCCCCTTCCTGTATGGTTGTTTGCGAAATAGCCCACTTGTTCCTCATCTCACCGACCTAAAACTCAACACACCCCACAGCTGCTGACCACAATAAATCCCAATGGTCAACACCAGAGTCATGTAAATGAGGTCCCCCTTCCTGTGTGTTTTCTTTAAATTAGCTAATCCATAAACGTTGTGGGAAAGCCCAAGGAATAACACCCATGGATATTAATAAAAGCACCCACTCCCTAACCATGGTTGAGCTTCCTAGCACCTGCAGACTCCTGTAGGCCTCCTGTCAGTGTCTGTGGCCTCTCTGACCTGTGAGTAATGCATTTCTTCTCTTTCATGCCCTCTGGCTTTACCTCCTCATTGTGTCTCACCCAAACCTAACTTTCTCCCTACTCAGGGCTCTCCTAGAGAGTTCTATCCTTGCTTTTAACCACTCTCAAGAGAGTAACTTCAGGACCAAATTATAAAGAAACCATAACAATAGAAATCACAACCACCAGAATAAATTCCAAATGGACAAAAGATGTAAGCATAAAAACTGATATCATAAAAGTACTGGAAGAAATTATGGAATAATTGTTTTATAATCTTGGAGGGGGAAAAGCCTAATTGCAATAAAAACCCAGAAACCATAAAAGAAAGGAATGATGAACTTGACTAAGAAAAAAGTCAGGGGGAGGAGCCAAGATGGCCGAATAGGAACAGCTCCGGTCTACAGCTCCCAGCGTGAGCGACGCAGAAGACGGGTGATTTCTGCATTTCCATCTGAGGTACCAGGTTCATCTTACTAGGGAGTGCCAGACAGTGGGCGCAGGTCAGTGGGTGTGCGCACCGTGCACGAGCCGAAGCAGGGTGAGGCATTGCCTCATTTGGGAAGCACAAGGGGTCAGGGAGTTCCCTTTCTGAGTCAAAGAAAGGGGTGACGGACGGCACTTGGAAAATCGGGTCACTCCCACCTGAATACTGCGCTTTTCCAACGGGCTTAAAAAACGGCGCACCATGAGATTATATCCCGCACCTGGCTCGGAGGGTCCTACGCCCACGGAGTCTCACTGATTGCTAGCACAGCAGTCTGAGATCAAACGGCAAGGCAGCAGCGAGGCTGGGGGAGGAGTGCCTGCCATTGCCCAGGCTTGATTAGGTAAACAAAGCAGCCGGGAAGCTCGAACTGGGCGGAGCCCACCACAGCTCAAGGAGGCCTGCCTGCTTCTGTAGGCTCCACCTCTGGGGGCAGGGCACAGACAAACAAAAAGACAGCAGTAACCTCTGCAGACTTAAACGTCCCTGTCTGACAGCTTTGAAGAGAGCAGTGGTTCTCCCAGCACGCAGCTGGAGATCTGAGAACGGGCAGACTGCCTCCTCAAGTGGGTCCCTGACCCCTGACCCCCGAGCAGCCTAACTGGGAGGCACCCCCCAGCAGGGGCACACTGACACCTCACATGGCAGGGTATTCCAACAGACCTGCAGCTGAGGGTCCTGTCTGTTAGAAGGAAAACTAACAAACAGAAGGGACATCCACACCAAAAACCCATCTGTACCTCACCATCATCAAAGACCAAAAGTAGATAAAACCACAAAGATGGGGAAAAAACAGAACAGAAAAACTGGAAACTCTAGAAAGCAGAGCGCCTCTCCTCCTCCAAAGGAACGCAGTTCCTCACCAGCAACGGAACAAAGCTGGACGGAGAATGACTTTGACGAACTGAGAGAAGAAGGCTTCAGACGATCAAATAACTCTGAGCTACGGGAGGACATTCAAACCAAAGGCAAAGAAGTTGAAAACTTTGAAAAAAATTTAGAAGAATACATAACTAGAATAACCAATATAGAGAGGTGCTTAAAGGAGCTGATGGAGCTGAAAACCAAGGCTCGAGAACTACGTGAAGAATGCAGAAGCCTCAGGAGCCGATGCGATCAACTGGAAGAAAGGGTATCAGCAATGGAAGATGAAATGAATGAAATGAAGCGAGAAGGGAAGTTTAGAGAAAAAAGAATAAAAAGAAATGAGCAAAGCCTCCAAGAAATATGGGACTATGTGAAAAGACCAAATCTATGTCTGATTGGTGTACCTGAAAGTGATGGGGAGAATGGAACCAAGTTGGAAAACACTCTGCAGGATATTATCCAGGAGAACTTCCCCAATCTAGCAAGGCAGGCCAATGTTGAGATTCAGGAAATACAGAGAACGCCACAAAGATACTCCTCGAGAAGAGCAACTGCAAGACACATAATTGTCAGATTCACCAAAGTTGAAATGAAGGAAAAAATGTTAAGGGCAGCCAGAGAGAAAGGTCGGGTTACCCTCAAAGGGAAGCCCATCAGACTAACAGCGGATCTCTCGGCAGAAACCCTACAAGCCAGAAGAGAGTGGGGGCCGATATTCAACATTCTTAAAGACAAGAATTTTCAACCCAGAATTTCATGTCCAGCCAAACTAAGCTTCATAAGCGAAGGAGAAATAAAATACTTTACAGAGAAGCAAATGTTGAGAGATTTTGTCACCACCAGGCCTGCCCTAAAAGAGCTCCTGAAGGAAGTGCTAAACATGGAAAGGAACAACCGGTACCAGCCGCTGCAAAATCATGCCAAAATGTAAAGACCATCAAGACTAGGAAGAAACTGCATCAACTAACGAGCAAAATAACCAGCTAAATCATCATGACAGGATCAAATTCACACATAACAATATTAACTTTAAATGTAAATGGACTAAATGCTCCAATTAAAAGACACAGACTGACAAATTGGATAAAGAGTCAAGACCCATCAGTGTTCTGTATTCAGGAAACCCATCTCATGTGCAGAGACACACATAGGCTCAAAATAAAAGGATGGAGGAAGGTCTACCAAGCAAATGGAAAACAAAAAAAGGCAGGGGTTGCAATACTAGTCTCTGATAAAACAGACTTTAAACCAACAAAGATCAAAAGAGACAAAAAAGGCCATTACATAATGGTAAAGGGTTCAATTCAACAAGAAGAGCTAACTATCCTAAATATATATGCACCCAATACAGGAGCACCAAGATTCATAAAGCAAGTCCTGAGTGACCTACAAAGAGACTTAGACTCCCATACATTAATAATGGGAGACTTTAACATCCACTGTCAACATTAGACAGGTCAACGAGACAGAAAGTCAACAAGGATATCCAGGAATTGAACTCAGCTCTAAACCAAGCAGACCTAATAGACATCTACAGAACTCTCCACCCCAAATCAACAGAATATACATTCTTTTCAGCACCACACCACACCTATTCCAAAATTGACCACATACTTGGAAGTAAAGCTCTCCTCAGCAAATGTAAAAGAATAGAAATTATAACAAACTATCTCTCAGACCACAGTGGAATCAAACTAGAACTCAGGATTAAGAATCTCACTCAAAACCGCTCAACTACATGGAAACTGAACAACCTGCTCCTGAATGACTACTGGGTACATAACGAAATGAAGGCAGAAATAAAGATGTTCTTTGAAACCAACGAGAACAAAGACACAACATACCAGAATCTCTGGGACGCATTCAAAGCAGTGTGTAGAGGGAAATTTATAGCACTAAATGCCCACAAGAGAAAGCAGGAAAGATCCAAAATTGACACCCTAACATCACAATTAAAAGAACTAGAAAAGCAAGAGCAAACACATTCAAAAGCTAGCAGAAGGCAAGAAATAACTAAAATCAGAGCAGAACTGAAGGAAATAGAGACACAAAAAACCCTTCAAAAAATTAATGAATCCAGGAGCTGGGTTTTTGAAAGGATCAACAAAATTGATAGACCGCTAGCAAGACTAATAAAGAAAAAAAGAGAGAAGAATCTAATAGACGCAATAAAAAATGATAAAGGGGATATCACCACCGATCCCACAGAAATACAAACTACCATCAGAGAATACTACAAACACCTCTACGCAAATAAACTAGAAAATCTAGAAGAAATGGATAAATTCCTCGACACATACACCCTCCCAAGTCTAAACCAGGAAGAAGTTGAATCTCTGAATAGACCAATAACAGGCTCTGAAATTGTGGCAATAATCAATAGCTTACCAACCAAAAAGAGTCCAGGACCAGATGGATTCACAGCTGAATTCTACCAGAGGTACAAGGAGGAACTGGTACCATTCCTTCTGAAACTATTCCAATGAATAGAAAAAGAGGGAATCCTCCCTAACTCATTTTATGAGGCCAGCATCATTCTGATACCAAAGCCGGGCAGAGACACAACAACAAAAGAGAATTTTAGACCAATATCCTTGATGAACATTGATGCAAAAATCCGCAATAAAATACTGGCAAACCGAATCCAGCAGCACATCAAAAAGCTTATCCACCATGATCAAGTGGGCTTCATCCCTGGGATGCAAGGCTGGTTTAATACACGCAAATCAATAAATGTAATCCAGCATATAAACAGAGCCAAAGACAAAAACCACATGATTATCTCAATAGATGCAGAAAAAGCCTTTGACAAAATTCAACAACCCTTCATGCTAAAAACTCTCAATAAATTAGGTATTGATGGGACGTATTTCAAAATAATAAGAGCTATCTATGACAAACCCACAGCCAATATCATACTGAATGGGCAAAAACTGGAAGCATTTCTTTTGAAAACTGGCACAAGACAGGGATGCCCTCTCTCACCACTCCTATTCAATATAGTGTTGGAGGTTCTGGCCAGGGCAATTAGGCAGGAGAAGGAAATAAAGGGTATTCAATTAGGAAAAGAGGAAGTCAAATTGTCCCTGTTTGCAGACGACATGATTGTATATCTAGAAAGCCCCATTGTCTCAGCCCAAAATCTCCTTAAGCTGATAAGCAACTTCAGCAAAGTCTCAGGATACAAAATCAATGTACAAAAATCACAAGCATTCTTATACACCAGCAACAGACAAACAGAGAGCAAAATCATGAGTGAATTCCCATTCACAATTGCTTCAAAGAGAATAAAATACCTAGGAATCCAACTTACAAGGGATGTGAAGGACCTCTTCAAGGAGAACTACAAACCGCTGCTCCAGGAAATAAAAGAGGATACAAGCAAATGGAAGAACGTTCCATGCTCATGGGTAGGAAGAATCAATATCGTGAAAATGGCCATACTGCCCAAGGTAATTTACAGATTCAATGCCATCCCGATCAAGCTACCAATGCCTTTCTTCACAGAATTGGAAAAAACTATTTTAAAGTTCATATGGGACCAAAAAAGAGCCCGCATCGCCAAGTCAATCCTAAGGCAAAAGAACAAAGCTGGAGGCATCACACTACCTGACTTCAAACTATACTACAAGGCTACAGTAACCAAAACAGCATGGTACTGGTACCAAAACAGAGATATAGATCAATGCAACAGAACAGAGCCCTCAGAAATAACGCCGCATATCTACAACTATCTGATCTTTGACAAACCTGAGAAAAACAAGCAATGGGGAAAGGATTCCCTATTTAATAAATGGTGCTGGGAAAACTGGCTAGCCATATGTAGAAAGCTGAAACTGGATCCCTTTCTTACACCTTATACAAAAATCAATTCAAGATGGATTAAAGACTTAAATATTAGACCTAAAACCATAAAAACCCTAGAAGAAAACCTAGGCATTACCATTCAGGACATAGGCATGGGCAAGGACTTCATGTCCAAAACACCAAAAGCAATGGCAACAAACGCCAAAATTGACAAATGGGATCTAATTAAACTAAAGAGCTTCCGCACAGCAAAAGAAACTACCATCAGAGTGAACAGGCAACCTACAAAATGGCAGAAAATTTTCGCAACCTACTCATCTGACAAAGGGCTAATGTCCAGAATCTACAATGAACTCAAACAAATTTACAAGAAAAAAACAAACAACCCCATCAAAAAGTGGGCGGAGGACATGAACAGACACTTCTCAAAAGAAGACATTTATGCAGCCAAAAAACACATGAAAAAATGCTCATCATCACTGGCCATCAGAGAAATGCAAATCAAAACCACAATGAGATACCATCTCACACCAGTTAGAATGGCAATCATTAAAAAGTCAGGAAACAACAGGTGCTGGAGAGGATGTGGAGAAATAGGAACAGTTTTACACTGTTGGTGGGACTGTAAATTAGTTCAACCATTGTGGAAGTCAGTGTGGCGATTCCTCAGGGATCTAGAACTAGAAATACCATTTGACCCAGCCATCCCATTACTGGGTATATACCCAAAGGACTATAAATCATGCTGCTATAAAGACACATGCACACGTATATTTATTGTGGCATTATTCACAATAGCAAAGACTTGGAACCAAGCCAAATGTCCAACAATGATAGACTGGATTAAGAAAATGTGGCACATATACACCATGGAATACTATGCAGCCATAAAAAATGATGAGTTCATGTCCTTTGTAGGGACATGGATGAAATTGGAAATCATCATTCTCAGTAAACTATCGCAAGAACAAAAAACCAAACACCGCATATTCTCACTCATAGGTGGGAATTGAACAATGAGATCACATGGACACAGGAAGGGGAATATCACACTCCGGGGACTGTTGTGGGGCAGGGGGAGCGGGGAGGGATAGCATTGGGAGATATACCTAATGCTAGATGACGAGTTAGTGGGTGCAGTGCACCAGCATGGCACATGTATACATATGTAACTAACCTGCACAATGTGCACATGTACCCTAAAACTTAATGTATAAAAAAAAAAAAGAAAAAAATCAAAGATCTTACATGGCAAAACCCAACATGAATGAAAGCCAACAAAATGGGGAAACAGTTTTTATAGCTCATATCACAGAGAAAGGGTAAATTCCTTAGTATAAAAGAACTCCTACTAATCAATAAGAAAAAAAGTCTGAAAATGCAATAGAAAAAAATGAACAAAAATTATCACTCCACAAGAAATGAAATACAAATGTCTCAAGACATCAGAAAGCATAATCAACTTCATTCATAATAAGAGAGATGCAATTTAAACTATACTGAGTTACCACTTATAGTAAGTATGGTTAACTACTACAGGTAGAGGAAAAAGGTAGGAGAACATGAAATAGGCATAAAATATACCTGCAAATTTGCAGGAAAATGTCAACACTGTTGCTTGTCGGGAAACCGGATGGTTGAGAGACTGAGAAGGAAGGAAAATGTCAGTGTCTTTTTTTTTTTTTTTTTTTTGTACCTTGAGAATTTTGAATCATGTGAATGACTTTGAAACATGTGGAAAAAATAAATAAAATTTAATTTAAAAAATCAATTTTCATTTCACCATTCTACTTTGCTCAGCTGCAGCTGGCCTCTGCTTTCCTGGCCCCTCTTCAAGAACTGCAAGAGCTTCTCAAAGTCCTCATGACATCCAGAGTGGTTTTGTAGCTCATGAAATGAAAGTCGTCCTCAGAACATTGCCAAATCGTTTCACATTTTAACGTGATGTTTCTGACAGAGCAGCTGTGGCTTCATTTAGCAGAATATTTGAGCATCTTAGTCTAAATACAACAGTTGGGCTCCTAGAACAAAAGGTTGTGGGGATGCATGTGTAAAAAGTCTGGAAAAGACTGTTTTTCTCTGTGGCATATACTACATTTCAGAACTGGAATTTTATTTTTACTTTATTATTCTGATTGGGTTTAACACGATAATATTATAAATAGTATAAGTAATATTTATCCCAATTCCAATACGCAGGTATATATTTTGCTTTTTGTCTCTTCACTCTTATAAAATTTAATTATTCTCCTTAACAGTACTGGGTGGAGTATAGTAGAACATCAGAGCAAGGAAGAACCTGAAAGTTCATTTGATGGTATTATTTCTCACAAGAATCTGTTTGCTGGGTATCAAGGGAATACCAGGTGACCTCTTTCCCTCTGTATTTGAATCTATTGTCTATTTCTCGAAAGACTCAATACAACAATCCATTTCAGGTCCTGAAATGACATGCGGGGCCAGGATGGTTTCTATTAACATATGCAAAGCCCCAGGAGGGTGGGAAGGAGAACTTGGGAGAACTCAGAACTGCAGAGACCAGCCTGGCTTGAAGAGTCTTAGGAAATACCATGAGATCTTGCCAACATCATAGGAGCAAGTAATTCTAACTTAGTTCAAATAAACAAAAGTTACAAAGATTTATAATACAGGTTAAGCCCCCTCCACATGGCACAGTGATGTTATAGTTCAACCTTTTCCTGTTTTAAAAACAGAGGAAAATTCATCCCTTAGTGACCTTTTTTTTTTACCTCCCAGACTAACCCTCTTGAATAACCATAATAATCCTCAACCTTTGATAAGCATCAAGGAACCAAGGGAGAAAGAAGAATTAAACCTACAAGTATAAGCTTTGCCCCCAGTATGAAAGAGACACAGCCAATCACTCTTCTTGTGGCATCTCACATCCTGTGCCACTCAGCACCTGCCTTTGATACTAGAAGTGTCCCCAGATGGACCCAGCCTTTCCTGACATTTTGACACATATGAAATATGTCCATATCAACCATGGAAGTTCTGCTTTTATTCAATGTTCACATCTGCCATCAATATTATAATTGTTTGAGAAAATAAATAAAACCAGTTTGAAGTCTAATGATCCAGACTGAACAAGTACTGTAGTGGGAACACAGATTATGAAAGAATGGTCCCATCCACAGCCAGGGACATGTGGGACTTTAGAGGGCTCCAAAAAAGAACTTTTCCATTCACTCCCTTCTTAAGCCCAAATGAGGTAAAAAGGTCTACTTTGGATTTTATCTGTTATTTCTAAAACCAGCTGAAGAGAGCACAGTTCCTGCAGGCAGATGTTATTTATTCCTCAATAATCTTTGCAAAGGTAGAGTTCATCATTCTTCTGAGAAAAGCTTGGGAAAGCTCTAGTTGAAGCCCTTAAGTTAGAATGAATTCATACCCAAGATTAGGGCCTGAGAATTCCTACGGTACCTGAGTGTCAGG